>NC_000006.12:66852806-67155836 GCF_000001405.40 Homo sapiens
ATGGGATTTTTTAAGTTCCTTTTTTTGGGGTAGATTATTATTAACATAAAAATACAACTTATATTTGCATGTTGATTTTGTATCCTGCTATTTTACTTAATTCAGTGATTAGTTCTGACAGTTTCTTGTGGAGTCTTTAGGGACATGTGATACATAGGATTATAGCACCTACAACAAGGATAATTATTTCTTTCCTTATAATTTGGATTGCTTCTATTTCCTTTTCTTGTCTGAATGCTTTTGCTGGTACTTCTAGTACTATGTTTAATGGTACTTCTAGTACTATGAGGAGATGGGTATCCTGGCCTCATACCAGATCTTATGTAAAAGGATTTGAGTTCTGCTCCATTGTTTATGATATTAGTTGTAGGCTTTTTATAAATGGTTTTTATTAAGTTGAGAAAATTTATTTCTATACACATTTAATTAAATGTGTTTATAATTAACAAATGTCAAATTTTGTCATTTTTTTTCTGCAGCTATTGAATGATTGTGTGATTTTTATCTTTTTATTCTGTTAATGGGCTATATCATGTCAATTGAATTTGCCTATTTTTAACAACTTGGCACTTCAAGATCAATCCCTGTTTGTAATTTTGTATAATCTTTTTTATGTGACATTAAATTTGGTTGGCTAATATTTTTTTAGGGCTTCTGCATCTATGCTCATAAGAGATATTGTTCTGATGCTTTCTCTTCTTATATTTGTGTTTGTCTGACCTGGTATCAAGGCGATGCTGGAGATATTACCTTTACTTCTATTTTTTTAAAGAGTTCATAAAAGATTGGTAATCATTCTTTGAATATTTGATAGAATTCAGCTGTGTAGCTGTGTGGTCCTGAGTTTTTTTTTTCACTGGGTGACTTTTGATTATTATTTCAAGTCTTTGTTGTTTTTGGTCTATTGAGCCTTTCTATTTGTTGATTCAGTCTTGATAAGTTGCATGTTTCTAAGAATTTCTTCTAGTTTATCTACTTTATTTACATATAATTGTTTATAATCACTTATGATCTTTTTCAGTTTCTGAGTCATTATTTGTAACGTCTCCTCTTTTATTTCTGATTTTATTTGAATCTTTTCTCTTTTTTCTTTGACAAACTAGCTAAGAGTTTGTTGATTTTGTTTATTAAAAAAAACTTTGGTATTTTTTATTTTTTTCTGTAGTTCTTCTATTCTCTATTTCATTTATTTTTACTGTGATCTGTTATTCCCTTCTTTCTACTAACTTTGCTTTAGTTTGTTTTTTGTCTAGTTTTGTGAAGTGTAAAGTTAGATGGTTTATTTGAGATATTTCTGCTTTTTAATTTAGGAATTTATTGCTATAAACTTCCCTCATGACTGCTTTTACTATATCTGTTATGATTAAGTGTCAGCTTGCTGTCAACTTCATGGGTGTCAACTTGATTGAATTGAGGCATGCCTAAATGGCTGGTAAAATCTTGTTTCTGGGTATGTTTGTGAGGAGGAGATTGACATTTGAGTATTATTTCTGTGTCTGTTTGCCACAGGAAATTGACATTTGAGTCAGTGGACTGGGAGAGGAAGACCCAACCTCAGTCTGATTGGGCACCATCCAATAGGCTGCCAGTATATCTAGAACAAGGCAGACAAATAAGGTGGGACAACTTTGCTTGCTGAGTTTCTGGTTCCCTTTCTTCTTTCCATGCCAGATCCTTGCTTCTGCTCCTCTTGCCCTTGGACATCAGATTCCAGGTTCTTGGGCCTTTGGACACTGGAACTTGCTCCAGCGGTTTCTTGGGGACTCTCAGGCATTCAGCCTCAGGCTGGCAGCTGAGTTTTCAGCTTTCCTGGTTTTGAGGCTTTTGGACTTGGAATAAGCCCCTGCTGGCTTCTCACTTTCCCCAGCTTGCTCGCAGCCTATCACCTTATAATCCTGTGAGCCAATTCTCCCTAATAAACTCCCTTTCATATACACTTATATCCCATTGGTTTTGTTCTTCTGGAGAACCCTGGCTAGTACAACATCCCATAAGTTTGTTCAATTCTATTTTAGTTTGCCTCATGATAGTTTTTAAATTCCCATTTGACCTGTGCTGTACCCAGTGATTGCTCAAGAGTATGTTGTTTCATTTCCATGTTTTTGTGAGTTTTCTCATTTTCTTACTATTACCAATTTTTGGTTTTATTCCATTGTGGTCAAAGAAGATTCTTGGTACAATTTTGCTCTTAAATATGTTAAGTCCTATTTTGTAATCTTTTATGTGACCTATACTGAAGAATATTTTGTATGTACTTGAGAAGAATGTAGATATTTTTGCTATTGTGTGAAACGTTATATATATATATATATGCCTGTTCTGATATTTAGTGTATATATACACATATGTTATATCTTCCTATTGAATTGATCCTTTTATCATAATGTAATCATCTTTTTTGTTTCTAAAGACTGTTTTTGACTTGAAGTCTATTTTGTCTGACATAAGTATAGCCACTACTTTTATTTTTCTAATTTTCCCACCCATCTGCACACTGACCTTCTCCTTTCTTTTGGTTACCACTTGAATAAAGTATCTTTTTTCATCTCTTACTCTCAACCAGGATGTACCCTTGAATCTAAACTGAGTTTGTTATAGACAACATATAGGTGGATCTTGTTTACTATTCATTAAGACAATTTATATCTTTTGATTTGGGAGTTTGCTTCGTTTACACTTAAAGTGATTCTTGAATAAGAAAGAATTTACCTTTGGCATTTTTGTTAACTGTTTTCTGTTTGTCTTGTGGTTCTTTTGTCTCTCTTTTTCTATCTTGCTTTCTTTCTTCCTATTTTATTTTTAGATATGTATATATATATATATATTGCAATGGTTTCATACCTATATTTTTCCTTTGTATAATGGCTACAGTTATTTTTGTGTTTGCCAAGGAACCTACGTAGAAAATCTTATAGTTGTAACAGTATATTTTAAGTTGGTAACAACTTAAATTTCTTGTATCCAAGAAATCTATAATTTTAAGTTTCGTCTCTCCACTTTATTTGCTATTGTTGTCACAACTATTTACATTTTGCTTCTATTAACATAATGTAGTTATACTTGCTTTTAATACTTTTATTTTTTAACTTCTTAGTGGGATTATAATTAATTAACTTACTACTATTATAGTAATAAAATATTCTTTTTTTGCCTATATTTTTACCTTCGCCAATGAGTGTCGAAATTTCTTATGTTTCTGTGGTGGTGTTTAGAAACCTTTTATGTCAACTTAAAGAACCTCTTTTAGCATGTTTTCTAAGGCAGGCATAAATATTATGAACTCCCCCAGCTTTCATTTGTCTAAAAGGTTTATTTTTTGAAGGACAGGTTTGCTAATTATAGGATTATTCATTTGAAATCTTTTATTTCAACATTTTGAATATATCATTCTACTTCTTTCTGTTCTTCAAAGTTTCTCCTAAAAAATGTACTGATAATTTCATGAAGATTCCCTTCTTTTTGCTCCTCAGGTTGACTGACTTCTAATTACCTGTTTTTTAGTTTGTTGGTCTTTTTTTCCAATTTATCTAATCTGCATCTGATTCACTCTATTGAATGTGTTAGTGTAAGTATTGTATTCTTTAGCTCTATGATTTCTGTTTGGTACATTTTTATATTTTCTTTTTTTGTTGTTAAAATTATCAGTTTGTTCATGCACTGCTTTCCTGGTCTCAGTGAACATCTGTATGAAAATTCCTTTGAATTTTCTATTGGGTAAATCTCATATCTTTACTTAATAGAGGTTGTGTTTTGGAGATTTATCTTGTTATTTTAATTGGAACATTATGGCTTCATTTTTTTTTAACTGTTTGTTATGGTTTCTGCTCATTGGATAAGCCAATCCCCCTTTCCCAGTCTTGTCAGTCTGTCTTCCTGTAGAAGGAGAACTTCACCAATTTTGTCCAACTAGAAGTTCTAGATACCTCTCAAACCTTTGTGCTTGTCCAAACCATTGCCTCTGTCCTTAAGGGTCCCCAAGATATTAAGGTGTGCCAAGTTCTGTCAGTACCCCCGAAACAGGTGAGATAAAACTCAGCTCCTCAAGATGTAGCTGTAAAAGTTAGCATGTTAGGTATGTCTTTTAATTCTTTGGATCTTTAAGGAAAAGCTGAGTTAGAGTTTTCTCTACAGTAGGCTCTCCAGTAAGCATGGGAGAAAATCTGCAACATATGCTTGCACTCTCACTCAGACCCCACACTCTGACACTGGAGGATGGCAGCTGTAAGTGAACCCATTTTTAAGCCACCTCCTTATCTCTGTGATTTAGAGAGACTTGGGAATCGAGAACCACTTCAACTCCCAGAGCTAGGTCATTTAGAAACCAGTATCTCTGGTGGCAGTTTTAAAAGTTGGGGCACTCAATGAATGCACACCCTCCTTCCTGGGAAAATATAAAGACCTGAATTTATCACTGGAGTTAGCTGGGGAATAAAGAAAAGAAAGTGCCCACTTTTCCATTCAGACTCTCAGAGGCCCACTGTTTATTTGCCCCATTGTCTCTCTGCTTCTAGCTCCTTAGAAGCCTACACTCGGGCAGCATCTGGAAAAATACGCAGAAGATTCCCTTCCAGGGAAAAACTGGTAGCTGGGGATTTTAGCCTGTTCTCTTTGCAGTGATCCTGAGGGTTATAGCTGCTGGAAGTGCTTGTGTACTTATTAAAAACCATATTTTTGTTCACATTAGATTAGGGAGACTTGGAAATGCAGAGTCTGTTTTGTCCCAAATGCAACGTAATTTAATATTCAAACCTTCTGGGCAAGAAAGTGAAGATACAGAAGTTGGGGTGCTATATGCATGACCCAATCCCTTCATTCCTCAAGGAGAAACTAGGAGATGGTAATTCCTTTCTGATCATAAGGTGCTGTGCCAGGGAGGGGTCTGTGAGCCAATGTGTCTTATCTTTTCCTATCCATTTCTACGTGTCCATTTTCACAGTTGCCTGACATGTAGGCATTTCTCAACTAGTTCTAGCTTTTTCTCAGAGGGAATTGATTCATGTGTGAAATGTTTATTCTGTAACTTTGTGGGAGGTGGGAAAGTCAGGAGCCTCATATTCCACTGTCTTCCTGATGTCATCCGTCTAGATTTATTTTTATTTAACAAAGCTACTTTTAATTTTTATCATCTTTTATTTGTACACACAAATATGTACACAACAAAACATGTTTTGTTTGGGAGGTTTTGCCAGTGCCAATGGCAGAATCACACAGTTATAAGTTTAAAAAATATTCTAGTTAAAATAGACATCAAATAGTGTCTGACATAATCTTTTCCATTTTAGACGAGAAAACTCGTAAATCAGGAGAGTGAGATAGCTTGACCAGAATTACAAAACAAGAAACTTGAAAGACTGGGTTTAGAATTTTGTAAGCCTGGCTCTTTGTCAACTACAAATTTGCTTACAAACTCTTTGGCTTATATTTGGTATCCAAATTTTGCCAGCGACAACTTTTACTGCACTTTGCCTGTAGGTTCCAAAATATATTATTTTCCCGTTTATAAAAGTGTAGTATCATTTACATGTTTCTAAATTCTGGCCCTTAACCTGTTGTTTGTAACACTTCATAGATGATAGCCAACAATGATTGCACAATCACACTTTAAATTATTTATCACATCACATTTTTAATCCTCAGTATCTAGAGATTTCAATTGATTTAATGTTTTTCTTCACTTGTCACAGAGAAGAGGTTTCACAGCTATACATCTCAAACACTTTTCAGTTTGCAAATTGTTCTCATTGATAGAGAAAAAGCAAATATATTATATTTAGTAGTTCTTTTTGTTTCTTTAAGATTTGCCTAAAATGTTGAGTATATCCATATTCATAAATGTTCTTGCTCTTTTTGATGTATTTTACTAGTGCCAATTTATTTTTGTAGTATACACACTGGGACTATGATATTTTCATTCTATACACGTATTTGTCCATAGTTAAGTATCCCTTCTTTACCTATTATGAAATACATTAATCCTTATTGGAAAATTATCTGAGCTGCTACATCACTTGTTTTTATAGTGCTCCTTTTTCTTCTACTTATCATTTATTAAATTTACAGAATTTTATTATTAAAATGTCTCAATCAGATCCTTTGCTAGGTGCTTGTCTAAGCATTTTATATATTTTAATTCATTCAAGCTTCTTAACAAAGCCTTGGATATGCACAATTATTATCCTTCTGTTACAGATAATGCAAAAGTTTATATCATTCATAAGTGGCATGTCCAGAATTGGGTGGTTTTTGTCAGTGTCCTATATTGTCTTCAATCTCTTAAAATTTTCTAAGTTGTTATATTATATTACCACAGAATTATTTCATTATCTTCTTAAATATTAAAATCTGCTTTTCTGCAGAGAAGAATGTACTTCCAACTATACTCATGAAGTTGATACATTTTTTCCCTACATTTCTCATCACTATTTCTCTGTAGGCAGGATGGTCTTTTTGTCAAAATTAAGTAAAAATTGAAGTTTCCTTGTTATGTTCCCAATCTTCTGGAAGATGACCCTGTCAGCCAGTCAAGGAAAGAATTTATTAAATGGTTTTTATTAGACGCACAGTGGAAGAAAATGATCTTTTTCTAAAACTTCATCTAAATACACTCCATCATGATTTCACTAGCATTTCATTGATTTAAAACCAAATCAAGACCATTTTGAAAATTTAATCTTTAGAAATAAAAGTCATATATTTGAAGGTAAAAACTTCCAGTTATTGCTGGAGTTGTAGCAGCTTAGATAGGCAGTCAATCTTACACCGAAAACATGACTATCCTGATGAAGGTTTGATTGGGCTGAGTTTGTGACTGGTTGGAGTTAGAAAGCAGGGAGGTTAGAGAAGAACAGACCTCCCAACCCAGGGAAACAGAAAGTGTCTAATGCAAATAATTTTTTTAAAAATTTAATTGGAAAGTATTTATACTGCTTCCTTTAGTTTTATCAAAGTTTACTGACTCTGAGTTATCCAACTCATAGTAAAAGATTTACAGGGGTAACTTGGGCTGGGCGCAGTGGCTCATGCCTGTATTCCTAGAACTTTGGGAGGCTGAGGCAGTTGGATCACTTGAGGTCAGGAGTGTGAGACCAGTCTGGCCAACATGGTGAAACCCCGTTTCTACTAAAAATGCAGAAATTAAGGACTGGGGGTGGTGCATGCCTGTAATTGCAGCTACTCGGGAGGCTGAGGCAGAAGAATCATTTGAACTCAGGAGGCAGAGGTTGCAGTGAGCCGAGACTGTGCCACTGCACACCAGCCTGGGCAACAGAGCAAGATTCCATCTCAAAAATACAAAATAAAAAAATAAAGAATTTGCAGGGATATCTCAAACCTAACTGTGGAGATATCTGAATATTTGTCCAGCATCAGGACTTTTCTACATATGAGATAATATGTTTAGTTTGACAAAATGTGTATAAACTAAGTACACCTGACAGATGTTATTGTCACTTTCCATCCTAAACCTAAATTGTGGTCTTTAGTAAATTTCATGTAATATTTTAAAAGAAAAACTGACAATCTGGAATGTAACTCCAAGAAGGCAATGAATGTAACTGAGATTTTTGATATCTTGTAAATGAGGAACAAATGGTAATTTCACCATGAATAAAATGTAGCTTACGGGAACATGATAGATTCCATAAAGTATTTAGAGAACTTCCATAAAGAGTGGATAGAAGATTTGTGCTGTACGCTGTTAAAGTACACATTTAGAACTGTGAATTGGACGAACATAAGAAAGAGTGTGTAGGAATGCCTGGCAGCAATAATGAGTGGCCTGCCAAAGATTTGAAAATAAGGGAAATCAGGATTTTTTTTTAGATTAAATATAAAGCTAACACATATGGGACCATTGCAGATATGTAAGTTTGTCTTAATGAGACAAAATATTTCTCAAGATAGAACCAATTTTGACTGCAAACTAGTTACCTTTATTATTACATTAAAGAAAGTATCAGAAAGAGAAAGATAGCAATAGAAATCTGAAGAGAATATTAATCTTAAAATACCTCTTGGACTATTATAATTTCAATTGAAATAATTCTAACTTATGTTTAAGAAAAAAATCAATGAAAACATTTTTTTTTTCAGCTTTTATCTGGGAAGACTAGATGTGGGCTTGGATTTGGAAGATATTGAATCCCTGGACCTCAAGAATGCTAGTTAGGTTCTTTATCCATTTATAAGCTCTATTTGTCTATGGTGGCCTTGATACTAAATGCAAACTTGATCAGTACTGTGAACATGATGAATGTCAGCAGCTATATTCTCCAAGCTTAAAAACATCAGAAGAAAGTTAAGGGTTTTTTTTTTCTCAGATATCAATGCTATAATGAAATCTGAGTGAAAGTTTGTGGATCTCACCCAACCCTTGGACCAAGCGCAGAGAAACAAGATAATGGCACTAGGACTGTACACAACATGAATTCCAAGGAAACAAATGTAATGCTGTAAGGCACTTAAAACAACAGAATAATTTGATCAGATCTTGATTTTTTTTATACTTGGCATGCATACACGAACAGGAAACTTTCATTTAAAAAAATAGAAAACAACAGACCAAAATAATTGAATTAACATAAAGTGGCTTTTGTATTTTAAAAAATCAAAACAAAAAGAAACATTTTGTACTATGAAGGAATTCATAATTAGGCCAGTGAGTTAGAGGATAGCCAACAAAAATGGATTAGAGCTGATTAAATCATCTTGCTAGTCCTAAAAGGAAGAAGAAGGAGGAGGAGAAATAAAGAAAAAAACAAGGAGGAGGAGAAGTAAGAGAAAATGTGTTTAACATATTTTTTTGCATTACTATGGATAAAAAATCAAATAATGATTTTTTTCCAGTTGTAAAGAACCCTCACAGTCAGTAATTTAAACATTTCCAATATGTTTGGCATCATAGCAACAATAGAAGTTTGCACATGTATGCCATTGGAAAGGGGGAGGTGAATTCTTCACAAATCAAATCCCATTGAATGCAACCTCTCTCATATTTTTGTCAAACTTAAAGGTTCCGTTTTAAAGTGCATTTTCAAAATTGTCTATAGGACCACATCAAGGCCTGCTAAATAAAACCAATACATTAAGGGGAAAATAAAGAATGTTAAGTACATAAAACATTTAAAAACAAGCAGTCAAATATTTTGGGTATTTATTGCTTTAACCTTTATTGAGGTATAATTGATATACAAAATCGTACATGTTTAGTGTCTAAATTTTGATGAATTTCAATATATGTATAAACTCATGACACGAATACTACAATCAAGATTCTAAACATATCCATCATCTCCAAAAATTTCCTTGAGTTATGTTGTCCTTTGGTGGGGTTTTTCTTTGTTTTTGTTTTTGGTAAAATCACTTAACATGAGATCTATCCTCTTAATAAGTTTTAAAGTGAACAATACCATTTTGTTAACTGCAGATAACTATGTTGTACATCGATCCCTAGAGCTTATTCATTTTGCACCATTGAAACTGTATAACAAATGAGGAACAATCTCCTATTTTCTCCCATCTCAAGCCCCTGGCAAGCTCCATTGTATTCTCTGCTTCAATGAGTTTGGCTATTCCAGATACTTTATATTTGTGGAATCATGAAATCCTTTTATAACTGGCTTATTTCGCTTAGCATAATGTTTTGGTCCATTCATGTTGTCACAAACAGTAAGATTTTCTTCCTTTTTTAAGGCTGAATAATATTTGAAACACATTTACTTTATCTATTTGTCTATTGATAGACATGTAGATTATTTCCTTATCTTGGTAATTATGAATGATGCCTCCATGAAAATTGGGGTGCAGATGTCTCTTCCAAAACCTTATTTAAATTATTTTGGATATATTTCCTGAAGTGGGATTGCTTCATCATGTAGCAATTCTATTTTTAATGCAATTACTATTAAAGGATCCTGCATACTGTTTTCCATGGTGCCTGAAGCATTCTACATTTCCATCAACTCTGCTTTTGTTTTCTTCCTCCCCATAGTTGCCAACACTTGTAGTTACTTATTTTTATCATAGCCATCCTAACAAGTGTGAGGTGATATCTCATCGTTGTTTTGATCTGCATTTCCTAATTAGTTGTAGTATTGAGCACCTTTCATATACCTGGCAACTGTTTGTATGTCTTCTTTGAAGAAATGCCTATTCAAGTCCTTTGCTCATTTTTTAATTAGGTTGTTTATTCTGCTTTGAGACATAGGAGATTCTTACACTCTTTGGATATTAACCCCTTGTTAAATAGATGGTTTGCAAATATGTGTTCTTTAAATATGTTGCCTTTTCACAGAGACAGAATCTTACTTGTCACCCAGGTTGGAGTGCAGTAGTGTTATCATGGCTCACTTCAGCCTGGAACTCCTGGGCTCAAGCAATCCTCCTGCCTCAACTTCTGAGCAGCTGAGATTACAGGCATGCGCTCCACACCCAACTAGTGTTGACCTTTTTTCTTTGCCTTAAAGAAGCTTTTCTGCAAAATTTGATGTTGTCTCACTTGTCTATTTTTGTGTTTGTTGCATGTACATTTTTTGTCAAATGCAGCAAATCATTGCTTACACCAATTTCAGGAAGTTTTTCTTCTGTTTTCCTAGAGTTTTATACTTTCAGATCTTAAATTTAAGTATTTAGTCCACTTTGAGTGGATTTTTGTGTCTGACATAATGATCCAATTTTACTCTATTGAACGTTTATATCATTTTCCCAGCACAACTTATTACAGAAACTATCTTCTCCCCATTGTATTTTCTTAACATCTCTGTTGAAGATAAGTTGACCATATGAACAGATGAATAATGAGAAAGGATATAGAATTGGTAATCAAAAACCTTCCAACAAGGATAATCCAGTATCAGATGCCTTCAGTGGTTAATTCTATCAACGATTTAAAACTAAATTCATGGCACCACTTCTGAAACTCTTCTAAAAAGTTGAAATGGAGGGAACATTTCCCAGCTAATTTTATGAGGCTATCATTACCCTGATACAAAAGTCAGATAAAGCCACCATAAGAAATGGAAACCACAGGCCAATATTCCTGTTGAACATAGATGCAGAAATCTCCAACAAAATACAAGCAATCCAAATTTAGCTACACATTAGAAAGCTTTTCTTTTTTTTTTTTCTTATTATACTTTAAGTTTTAGGGTACATGTGCACATTGTGCAGGTTAGTTACATATGTATACATGTGCCATGCTGGTGCACTGCACCCACTAACTCGTCATCTAGCATTAGGTATATCTCCCAATGCTATCCCTCCCCCCTCCCCCCACCCCACAACAGTCCCCAGAGTGTGATATTCCCCTTCCTGTGTCCATGTGATCTCATTGTTCAATTCCCACCTATGAGTGAGAATATGCGGTGTTTGGTTTTTTGTTCTTGCGATAGTTTACTGAGAATGATGTTTTCCAATTTCATCCATGTCCCTACAAAGGACATGAACTCATCATTTTTTATGGCTGCATAGTATTCCATGGTGTATATGTGCCACATTTTCTTAATCCAGTCTATCATTGTTGGACATTTGGGTTGGTTCCAAGTCTTTGCTATTGTGAATAATGCCGCAATAAACATACGTGTGCATGTGTCTTTATAGAAAGCTTTTCTTCTAAGATTATGAACAAGAGAAGGATGCCTTCTGTTGCCACTTCTATTCAACATAGTACTGAAAGCGCTAGTCAGGGCAATTAGGCAAGGAAAATAAATAAAAGAACTCCAAATTGAAAAGAAAGAAATAAAATTGCTCTTTTTTCAGTTGACGGAATCTTATATATAAAAATCCCTAAAGACACCACAAAAAACTTATTAGAACTAATAAACAAGTTCAGCAAATTGACAGTAAACAAAATCAACATACACAATTTAGTTGCTTTTGTATACATGAATAATGAACTATCCAAAAATGGAAATAAGGAAACAATTCCGTTTACCATAGCATCAAAAATAATAATGTGCTTGGGAATAAACATAACCCAGAAAATGAAAGATCTGTACACCGAAAACTATAAAACATTGATGACAGAATTTTTTTTTTTGAGATGGAGTCTCGCTCTGGATGACGGAAATTTTAAAGACACAAATAAATGGGAAGCTATCATGTGATAATGGATTGGAAGATTTCATATTTTTAATATGTCTGTATGACTTAAAGCAGTATACAGATTCAATATAATACTTATCAAAATTCCAAGGGCATTTTTAGCAAAAATAGAAGAGAAAATCTAAAATTTATATGGAACCACAAAAGATTCTGAATTGCTGAAGTAACCTTGAGAAAGAAGAACAAAGCTGGAAGTATTACACTGCCTGATTTCAAAATATATAGCAAAGCTATGGTACTTAAAACCCTATGGTACTGGCATGACAAACATGCAGATGAATGAAACAGAATGGGGATGTCATTAACATTTTGACTCTTACAGGGGGAACATACTGTGGGAGAGAAGTGAAAGAATATTAAATTTGGGAAATAGAATATTAAAAATTCCCATTCTGTGGGAACAAGAAAGAGAATGCAAATAGGGGCTTACTATTGTATTTCTTATACGAAGTGAATAAAACAATTGATTTTTATGAATAAAACATGTTATATTTATAGAAAGATTGTTTAAATTTAGATATATGACTCAGAATAATAATATAATTCTTAGAATACGTAGAATGAGTTGTTGAAACTAACCTTTGGTGTGGAACAATAATAGGCTTTCTGTTAAATTTTTTATATATACATATGTATAATACACACACACATACACACACACACACACATATATATATACACACACACATATGTAATCTTGGAATATCAAGTTCAGCAATAACTACATTGAAATTTTTGGAAATTTTATCTTATTTTATTTTTGATGAAATGAGAAACAAACTGTGAAAAATAACCCTGTAGGACTAACTCCATCAAAAGAACATTTAAGATGTTACTGTTTAAGAAGGCAGAACCATACAGTACTACCAGTGAGTTGAACAGTCTTTTTAATAAAATTATCTATATTTTATCACTATCAGAGTTTCAGAACTCTAGAGTACCAGAGAAAGCTAATACTCAGAGAGACAAATTTGACCTTTACCTCTCAGTCATTAAATACTAGGAAATGATACAGCTTAGTGCTCCTTAAATATTTGCAAAATGACATGCCCTGTGAATACAGACAACAGCAGCTCACACTTTTTGAGGTTTCCTTGGATCATTGTTAAGGGCTGAATCATTTAAAAAACAAATATAAGAACACAGATTTGCTACTTATGTACAGTCACACATATTAAATTAAGAAGAAGGCATTAGCTATTATTATATAAAGTTAATATTTTAATAATAAAATTGTGGTTAGTTAATAGTAAAATGTATATGTATTACTACTGTTATAGAATGGCCTAGCAAAGTGAGCAAAAACTTGATAAATATGAGATTAAATACCTTAAGACCTAAATTATGTGTGTGTGTATGTGCATGCACATGTGTGTGTCTCCTTTATCATTTATATTCATAACACTTGTTTATTGGAATTGACTGCTTAGTTTTCCAAATTAATCATAATAAAGTTAATATTTAACATTTGCCTTCCATGAACATTTTGTTAGGCTTAGATCCTCATTTTTTCATACCACTCTGTCTATCCCTATTTGCTGTTTTAATTTAGTTCAAGATTATAGAAGAAAGGAAACATAAATTATTAATACTATGTGCCAAAATCCTGTACTTAAGCAACAAACATGGTTCTAGGGGAAAAACAAGTAATTGACTAACTGACCTTTTGAGTCGTAAGTTTAAATTGTGAAGTTTCTTGTGTTACAAGTGATCTTTACAACCTAATTTACATAACACTTGTAAATTATTCCAGATCTGGTTAGTAAATGTGGTATATATTGAATTCAATCTAATATAGAATTAGTTATATATTTTGAATCAACATATCATGTTACCAATATACTTAATACCAAAAAGTGGTGTGTGTGTTTATTTTTTGTGTTTGAACCATATGAAAGGATACATATTGTCATCTTCTACATGAATATACTTACCACATTTTGTGTCCACCCTGTCCACTATTCAGTGAGGAAAACCTGATCTGGGAATAAGAAGCACAATTTTCTTTATATACTAGCAAACATAATAAATAAAGCCCTGATGTCCAGACCTTAATGGATTCAAACTTCTTTCATTTGCTGAGTCATTTAGTATTTATTTAACCCCAAGTAGGTGATGTGCATATTGGGTGACTCAATGATCAGATTGGTAACAAGGTAAAAACCCATCTTCAAGGCTCTTTTGATTAAATATGGGAGGCAAACTGGTAACAATACAGATTCTGATTAATTATATTGAAATAAAGATCACACGTAATATTTCTAAATGGGAGTGATGAGGACTGAATGCTTTAGAAGAGTAGAAATCTGTCATTGATAAATTTTATTGTGTAGTTTTAAGAATTAAGATTGTTAATTCCACTCAGAAAATAATATAAGTAAAATAAAATAAGAGTACAAACATCCCACATTAAAAAACTGTAGTATTTTGTGCTTTCTTGAATAGACAATATATTTTTCAATGTAATAGTTCCATAAATAACTATAATAAGAATTTTCTTGTCAGATTGTTCAGGCCTTGTGACTGAAGCCAGACATAAAACTATATTTTCTCATGTGGGTTTTATATTTAATTTAAATCAATGTATACTCACTGACCAAAGTTATCAGACCATAAGCTTAGTTGCCACAAATAAGTGTCTAAGATCATGTTAATGTTATACATATTACATAAGACAGATCTGTAGCAAAATATATCTAGCATTTGAAGTGACTAGATATGGAAGCTAAAATATATCTGATAAGATTCATATTTTTATCCTTTTAAAAATGCAACAATTTTCTGGGTCTAAAGTATGAACAGCAAAGGGAAATTAACATGAATCTTGTGCATTCAGTTACCAGATCAGATATGTTCTAATACAATCAGATATTGTTTTCCATCTTTGTTAGAAACAAATAAGAGAACATTCTGGTGATAATTGAAAATGTAAAATCCTTTATACGATTTGACACTTTGCTCTAGAAAGAGGAAAATTATTAATAAATGGCATGAGTGGGGTTATCATGTTTTTATTATCAATAAAATTTAATATTTAAGTTAATCTTTGCAGGAGTCATTCCCTTAATAAAATACAATTATTAAGAAAATCTACATGAATAGAAGGTATTAGAGAAAGATAGATTAAGACAAACACCTAAATATAACATGTTTCAAGTATGAGACAGGTCCCATTTTCACAATGAGAAGACTTTACAAAAGAGCTTTTTGTCTGGCTTGATAAAAGAATCCTTTAGAGAATTAAACTTTTATAGCAATAGTTAAGCATAATAGATATTACACATAAACATTTAAAATTACATGTAAATTAATATGTTTAGAGGTATTTTTAATACCAAGATTCAAGAACATAAGTTTCTTTTTTATTTTCAGGCCCATTGCAAGCACAGAAGAATCATTGTGTTTCTCATCAGCATAGCCAGTTTTGAACCTTCTAACCTTTATTTTTCCAAAATGAGTCATTTTGTATTCACCTATTCCGTCTGTGACATATCATTAGAATTCCTTAGAGATGTTGTCTCTGAAAATTTCACTCCAACTGACATGCAGCAATACATAATACTGGAATAGTTTTAAAAATTATTATTTGTGCTGGAAATATGTATTTCTGACTGAAAACATTTAACAACTGCTGGATTTCTTCATCTATGAAAGGCTTTTTAAAGGCTAAATAATATTCTATTGTACACACATATGCAAACATGCACGCAGAAACACACACACATAAAATCTTTTTTTATTCATTCATCCATTGACAGACACTTAAAATATTTCTACTCAATGTATATGTCATCTTTTCTTTACCTATTCATCCAACAACACTTGAGTTGTTTCCATATCTTAGCTATTGTGAATGATGCTGCAATGAATATGGGTGTGCAAACATTTCCTCTGCATATTGATTTCAATTCTGTTGGATATGTACCCAGAAGTGGGATTGCTGGATCTTAACTTAGCCCTATTTTTTAGTTTTTTAAGGAAATTCCATATCATTTTTCATAATGCCTGTAGCAATTTATAATTCTACCAACAGTGTACAAGGTGTCTTTTTTTTCGACATTGTCAATAGTTATCATTTTACTTTCTGACAATAGCCAGCCTACCAAGTATGAAGTTATAGCTCATATAGTTTTGATTTGCATTTCCCTCATGATTAGTGATGCTGAGCACCTTTTCACATACCCATTAGACATTTGCAGTGTTTGGAGAAATATGTGTTCAAGTCTTTTGCCCACGTTCTAATCAGGTTACTTGTTTTTGTTTTTGTTGTTATTGAGTTGTGTATTTTGAATATTAATGTACATTGGATATACGGTGTGCAATTTATTTTCTCCTATTCTATGGGGTGGCTTTTCACTTTGTTGATGGTTTCCTTTGCTCTGCAGAAACTTTTTAGTTTCATGTTGTCCCACTTGTTTATTTTTGCTTTTGTTGACTGTGCTTTTGGAATTATGTCTGCAAAATAACTGCCAAGGCCAAGATCAATGAATTCTTTTTCTATTATTTCCCTTAGAATGTTTATGATTTCAGGTCTTACATTTAAGTCCTTCATTCATTTTGAGTTAATTTTTGTATATGGTGTAAGGGAAGAGCCCAGCTTCATTCTTTTGAATGTAGATGTCCAGTGTGCCTGACACCATTGAAAAGACTATCTTTCTCCACTGTACAAGGGACTATCCTATCCTTTTCCCACTCTTGCCTGAAGATGAACTAAATATTGAAAGAAAGTATGTCACTACCAAACTTGGTTAAAGGGACTGAAAGTGATTGATTCTGAGAAGAAAATGATAATGTAGGGCTAGTCAGGGTTTTTATACTAGCCTTATCAAGTCTACTTGATTTTTAAAGTATGTATGTTTGATAAAAGTAAAAGCTATTTTTTTAAATTATACTTTAAGTTCTAGGGTACATGTGCACAATGTGCAGGTTTGATACATAGGTAAACATGTGCCATGCTGGTTTGCTGCACCCATCAACCCTTCATTTACATTAGGTATTTCTCCTAATGCTATCCCTCCCCCAGCCCCACAACCCATCACACACAACAGTGTGTGATGTTCCCCACCCTGTGTCCAAGTGATCTGATTTTTCAATTCCCACCTATGAGTAAGGACACATGGAGTATGGTTTTCTGTCTTTGTGATAGCTTGCTAAGAATGATGGTTTCCAGCTTCATCCATGTCCCTGTACAGTACATGAACTCATCCTTTTTTATGGCTGCATAGTATTCCACGGTGCATGTGTGCCACATTTTCTTAATCCAGTCTATCATTGATGAACATTTGGGTTAGTTCGTGAATAGTGCTGTAATAAAAATACATGTGCATGTGTCTTTATAGTAACATGATTTATAATCCTTTGGGTATATATCCAGTAATGGGATTGCTGGGTCAAATGGTAATTGTAGTCCTAGATCCTTGAGGAATCGCTACAGTGTCTTCCACAATGGTTGAACCAATTTACCCTCCCACCAACAGTGTGAAAGCTTTCCTACTTCTCCACATTCTCTACAGCATCTGTTGTTTCCTGACGTTTTAATGATTGCCATTCTAACTGGCATGAGATGGTATCTCACTGTGGTTTTGATTTGCATTTCTCTGATGACCAGTGATGATGCACCTTTTTTCATGTGTCTGTTGGCTGCATAGACGTCTTCTTTTGAGAAGTGTCTGTTCATATCATTTGCCCACATTTTGATGGAGTTGTTTGTTATTTTCTTGTAAATTTGTCTGAGTTTTTTGTAGATTCTGGATATTAGCCCTTTGTCAGATGGGTAGATTGCAAAAATTTTCTCCCATTTTGTAGGTTTCCTGTTCACTCTGATGGTAGTTTCTTTTGCGGTGGAGAAGCTCTTTAATTAGATCCCATTTGTCAATGTTGGCTTTTGTTGCCATTGCTTTTGATGTTTTAGACATGAAGTCCTTGCCCATGTCTATGTCCTGAATGGTATGGCCTAGGTTTTCTTCTAGGGTTTTTATGGTGTTAGACCTAACATTTAAGTCTTTAATCCATCTGGAATTAATTTTTGTATAAGGTGTAAGGAAGGCATCCAGTTTCAGCTTTCTACATATGGCTAGCAGGTTTTCCCAGCACCATTTATTAATGGGGGAATCATTTCCCCATTTCTTGTTTTTGTCAGGTTTGTCAAAGATCAGATGGTTGTAGATATGTGGCATTATTTCTGAGGCTTCTGTTCTGTTACATTGGTCTATACGTCTGTTTTGGTACCAGTACCATGCTGTTTTGGTTACTGTAGCCTTGTAGTATACAAGTCAGGTAGCGTGATGCCTCCAGCTTTTTCTCTTTTGGCTTAGATTGTCTTGGCAATGTGTGCTCTTTTTTGGTTCCATATGAACTTTAAAGTAGTTTTTTTCCAATTTTGTGATGAAAGTCATTGGTAGCTTGATGGGGATGGCATTGAATCTATAAATTACTTTGGGCAGTATGGCCATTTTCACAATATTCATTCTTCCTATCCATGAGCATGGAATATTCTTCCATTTGTTTTTTTCCTCTTTTATTTCATTGAGCAGTGGTTTGTAGTTCTCCCTGAAGAGGTCCTTCACATCCCTTGTAAGTTGGATTCCTAGGTATTTTATTCTCTTCGTAAGAATTATGAATGGGGGTTCACTCATGGTTTGGCTCTCTGTTTGTCTGTTAATGGTGTATAGGAAAGCTTGTGATTTTTGCACATTGATTTTATATCCTGAGACTTTGCTGAAGTTGCTTATCAGCTTAAGGAGATTTGGGGCTAAGACGATGGGGTTTTCTAAATATATAATCATGTCATCTGCAAACAGGGACAATTTGACTTCCTCATTTCCTAATCGAATACACTTTATTTCTTTCTGTTGTCTGATTGCCCTGGCCAGAACTTCCAAAACTATGTTGAATAGGAGTGGTGAGAGAGGGCATCCTTGTCTTGTGCTGGTTTTCAAAGGGAATGCTTCCAGTTTTTGCCCATTAAGTATGATATTGGCTCTTGGTTTGCCATAAATAGCTCTTATTATTTTGAGATACATTCCATCAATATGTAGTTTATTGAGAGTTTTTAGCATGAAGGGCTGTTGAATTTTCTTGAAGGCCCTTTCTGCATCTATTGAGATAATTATGTCGTTTTTGTCTTTGGTTCTGTTTATGTGACGGATTATATTTATTGATTTGCGTATCTTGAACCAGACTTGTGTCCCAGGGATGAAGCCGACTTGATGGTGTTGGATAAGTGTTTTGATGTGCTGCTGCATTCGGTTTGCCAGTATTTTATTGAGGATTTTTGCATCAATGTTCATCAGGTATATTGATCTAAAATTCTCTTTTTTTGTTGTGTCTCTGCCAGGCTATGGTATCACGATGATGTTGGCCTCCTAAAATGAGTTAGGGAGGATTCCCTCTTTTTCTATTGATTGGAATAGTTTCAGAAGGAATGGTACCAGCTCCTCTTTGTACCTCTGGTGGAATTTGGCCACGAATCCATCTGGTCCTGGACTTTTTTCGTTGGTAGGCTATAAATTATTGCCTCAATTTCAGAGCCTGTTATTGGTCTATTCAGGGATTCAACTTCTTTCTGATTTAGTCTTGGGAGAATGTATTTGTCCAGGAATTTATCCATTTCTTGTAGATTTTATAGTATATTTGTATAGAGGTGTTTATAGTATTCTCTGATGGTAGTTTGTATTTCTGTGGGATCGGTGGTGATATCCCCTTTATTATTTTTTATTGCCTCTATTTGATTCTTCTCTCTTTTCTTCTTTATTAGTCTTGCTAGCAGTCTACCAATTTTGTTGATCTTTTCAAAAAAGCAACTCCTGGATTCATTGATAATTTGAAGGGATTTTTTGGCGCTCTCTCTTCAGTTCTGCTCTGATCTTAATTATTTCTTGCCTTCTGCTAGCTTTTGAATTTGTTTGCTCTTGTTTCTCTAGTTCTTTTAGTTGTGATGTTATGGTGTCGATTTTAGATCTTTCCTGTTTTCTCTTGTGGGCATTTAGTGCTATAAATTTCCTTCTACCTACTGCTTTAAATGTATCCCAGAGATTCTGGTATGTTGTGTCTTTGTTCTCATTGGTTTCAAAGAATATCTTTATTTCTGCCTTTATTTCATTATGTACCCTGTAGTCATTTAGGAGCAGGTTGTTCAGTTTCCATGTAGTTGTGCTGTTTTGAGTGAGTTTCTTAATCCTGAGTTCTAATTTGATCGCACTGTGGTCTGAGAGACAGTTTATTGTGATTTCTGTTCTTCTACATTTGCTGATGAGTGCTTTACTTCCAATTATGTGGTCAATTTCAGAATAAGTGTGATGTGGGCTGAGAAGAATGTATATTCTGTTGATTTGGGGTGGAGACTTCTGTAGATGTCTATTAGGTCTTCTTGTTGCAGAGCTAAGTTCTGGTCCTGGATATCCTTGTTAACCTTCTGTCTCATTGATCTGTCTAATATTGACATTGGGGTGTTAAAGTCTCCCACTGTTATTGTGTGGGAGTCTAAATCTCTTTGTAGGTCTCTAAGGACTTGCTTTATGAATCTTGGTGCTCCTGTATTGGGTGCATATATATTTAGGATAGGTAGCTCTTCTTGTTGAATTTATCCCTTTACCATTATGTAATGGCTTTCTTTGTCTCTTTGATCTTTGTTGGTTTAAAGTCTGTTTTATCAGAGACTAGGATTGCAACCCCTGCTTTTTTTTTTTTTTTTTTTTTGCTTTCCATTTTCTTGGTAGATCTTCCCCCAACCCTTTATTTTGAGCTTAAATGCATCTTTGCACGTGAGACAGGTCTCCTGAATACCGCACACTGTTGGGTCTTGACTCTTTATCCAATTTGCCAGTCCGTGTCTTTTAATTGGGGCATTTAGCCCATTTACATTGAAGTTTAATATTGTTTGTGTGAATTTGTTCCTTTCATTATGATGTTCGCTGGTTACTTTGCCCGTTAATTGATGCAGTTTCTTCATAGCATGGATGGTCTTTACAATTTGGCATGTTTTTGCAGTGGCTGGTACCAGTTGTTTCTTTCCATGTTTAGTGCTTCCTTCAGGAGCTCTTGTAAGCCAGGCCTGGTGGTGACAAAATTTCTCAGCATTTGCTTGTCTGTGAAAGATTTTATTTCTCCTTCACTTATGAAGCTTAGTTTGGCTGGATATGAAATTATGGGTTGCAAATTCTTTTCTTCAAGAATGTTGAATATTGGCGCCCACTCTCTTCTGGCTTGTAGGGTTTCCGCTGAGAGATCTGCTGTTAGTCTGATGGGCTTCCCTTTCTGGGTAACCTGACCTTCTTTCTGGCTGCCCTTAATACATTTTCCCTTCATTTCAACCTTGGTGCATCTGACAATTATGTGTCTTGGGGTTGCTCTTCTCGAGGAGTATCTTTGTGGTGTTCTCTGTTTTTCCCGAATTTGAATGTTGGCCTGCCTTGCTAGGTTGGGGAAGTTCTCCTGGATAATAACCTGAAGAGTGTTTTCCAACTTGGTTCCATTCTCCCCATCACTTTCAGGTACACCAATCAAACATAGATTTGGTCTTTTCACATAGTTCCATATTTCTCGGAGGCTTTATTCATTTCTTTTTACTCTTTTTTCTCTAACCTTTTCTTCTTGCTTTATTTCATTAATTTGATCTTCAATCACTGATACTCTTTCTTCCACTTGATTGAATCGGCTATTGAAGCTTGTGCATGCATCACGAAGTTCTCGTGCTATGGTTTTCAGCTCCATCAGGTCATTTAAGATCTTCTCTACACTGTTTATTCTAGTTAGCCAATTGTCTAATCTTTTTTCAAGGTTTTAGCTTCCTTGTGATGGGTTCGAACATCCTCTTTAGCTCAGAGAAGTTTGTTATTACCTACCTTCTGAAGCCTACTTCTGTCAACGTGTCAAAGTCATTCTTTGTCCAGTTTTGTTCCATTGCTGGCAAGAAGCTGTGATCCTTTGGAGGAGAAGAGGTGCTCGATTTTTAGAATTATCCACTTTTCTGCTCCGGTTTCTCCCCATCTTTGTGGTTGTATCTACCTTTGGTGTTTGATGTTGGTGACCTACAGATAGGGTTTTGATGTACATGACCTTTTTGCTGATGTTGATGCTATTCTTTTCTGTTTGTTAGTTTGTCAGGTCCCTCAGCTGCAGGTCTGTTGGAGTTTGCTGGAGTTCCACTCCAGACCCTGTTTGCTTGGGTATCACCAGTGGAGGCTGCAGAACAGCAGATATTGCAGAATAGCAAATCTTGCTGCCTGATCCTTCCTCTGGAAGCTTCATCCCAGAGGGCCAGCCAACTGTATGAGGTGTCTGTTGGCCCCTACTGGGAGCTGTCTCCCAGTTAGGCTACAAAGCAGTCAGGGACTCACCCTGCTTCAGCTGACCCTCTGTGGGCTGCAGCCACTGTCCAACCAGTCCCAATGATATGAATCAGGTATCTCAGTTGGAAATGCAGAACTCACCCATCTTCTGTGTCAATCACGCTGAGAGCTGCAGACCAGAGCTATTCCTATTCAGCCATCTTGGCGACTCCCCAGTAAAAGCTATTTTTTGAAAAACAAGACTTCTTTATTTTATTTTCCAGCACACAAAACTGTGGGGTCACTCTTCTAAAATAATGACCAAATTATTATCAAAACAGAGGTAATATACCTAATTTACCCTTATTTTTTTCCCTTTCTCTCTCCCTCCCTCTCTAATTCTGCTATGCTCCTCTTGTCCTATTCACCCACTAAAGAGATCTGGGTTGGATATAACTGGTGCTGTTGGTTCTGGTAGAGTCCCAAAAAGCTGGGGAACCTGGATTTACATCCAGCAGTCTTTTTTGTTTATTTGTTTCATCTGTAAAGGGCCCACAAGAGTTAGGGAGTTCCCCTTTTATGCTGAGTTGTACTGGCTCAAGGGATGGGGTGATGCAGGCAAAATGAAATTTCTCTTCCTACCTATTTTGTACAGCTATTATTGTGTTTTTCCTTTGCTGTATTTCTGTGACTTAAGTGGACTCCTAAGCTCGTCCATAGTTATTTTTGGTAATGGAAAGCTACTGAATTGTTGCTCTTTGCAAAATAAAAGTTGGAATCTCCTACTGTACCATCTAGTTGAGGTTTCTTTCTTCTTCACTAATCTGATGTGTGCTGTGTGCAAAACACTGCTCTGGGTGAGGTTGTACTTGATTATGTCACAACAGAAAATAATTCTACTATCAAAATAAAAGAATTTAAAAATCACCACAACATGAATAAATAAATTCAACAAATCTTTAGTGAATTACATAATATAACACACACACACACACACACACACACACACACGTCTTATAATCGCAAACCTCATAACAAGTATTTGAATGTTTTAATATAGAAAATGCAGTGGTCAATTTTTTTGAGAAATGCTTTTGTGGGAAAAGTCATTTTTATACTGTATTTATGTAAAACAAACTACCATTATAGCTCCATTTGAAAAGAATTGCACAAATTAGTGAGTTAATTTTGGCTGTAATAATCTTTTAGGACTAGATTATAAAGCTAAGTAAGAACAAAGATTTTTACTTAGTAGAGAGATAATTTATTTTTAAGTTATATATCTGTGTGAAAATAAGTCACATTTTGAACTTCTGAAACACATATTTTCAATGGTTAAGTATTTATTGAATATTTTCAATTTATTAAGTATATAAAAATGAGTGCAAACAAAATAAAGAGGAATTATGGTCCCTGACTTGAGAAATAATTTTAGTCTACTTTAGTAGAGACTGTATACATTAAAATTTAAAGATAGGGTGTTAACTAACTAGGTGACAAAACAGTATTAGGAGATTTGCACATATGTCTCATTTAGCCTCATTTAGTCTTTTCACAATCTTAATAAGTAGCTGTCATTTTCAATTTGAAGAACTTGAGACTCCTGCTTAAACATGAATAGCTGAAATAATTTATCTCTGTTTTCTTAGAAGGTTCATAAAAAATTATAATCAATCATGGTATAAATCAAATCGTGTATAAATAGATAAAAATGAAATCCACGAAGCACAGGGAAGAGACTATAGAAGACAAGAAAACCAACACAATTTGTAAGATGAAATTCAAATAGGCAAATGCTGATATTTTCAGAGTAAGGGATGCTGAAAGCTATATGCCAGTAAAAGAAGATGCTAATGTCAAGGAAGCCAACTAAAATCAAGCAGATTTTGAAAGTCCCCAAAAAACAGAATTACTAGATACTTAGATTGTGAAAAATGAGAATAAAAGCAGAATAACTGCTTGAAAATAAAGTATAGAGAATATTTAGACTCTCACCTCTCTCTCCAAACCAAGCAGGCAACCATCTGTCTCCCACCCAAGTAGGAGGATGGAGTTTTATTTTCTGCAAAAACTAAATGCAAGAGTTTATAGACTCATATGCGTTAAAATGGATGAGGTTGGGGGCTACTCTTTACCAAAGTTAAGAGAAATAAGTTAAAACCTGCATACCATTTCTCTAACTCATCTTCCAGAATAATACCAACCTATTTATACTTGTTAGGCAAAATGTTAGATAATTCCTCTCTAAAAAGCTGACCAAGAGAGAAATTCTGCAGTAATATCTAAGGGCTTCCAAGAAAATATCTGTATCCTGGCCTATTACCCTACACTTCTCAAAAAGTGCAGCTCATGCATCTATGATCTCTACTTAATTTTTTAGTGTTTTTCTTTTATACATGGCTATATATACATTGAACTTCACACACTGAGGGAGAGTCTCTAAAATGAAGATAAGCAAATGAAGACTGGAGGAAATTTAGATGCCACATGTAACAAAGAAAATATTTTAAAGTAACTATAAATGAAAAAAATACTGGTTTAGTGAAAGAATAGCAATTCTTTCAAATGAATAACCAGAGAATTAAAAGTCTATTAAAGTTTTAAAAAATAATAGGAGAAAATAAAATTTTAGTAGAATGTTGAAAAAATTTTCCAGAAAGTAGATGAGGTAAATGAAGTAAGGAAAATCATTTCAGCTCAGCTCGTAAGTTTCTGAATTTAAAAAGCCCACTGAATTCCTAGCACGATGAATGAAAAAGATGTCTCAGTCAGTCATCAATACCTTTCAGAGGACTGGGGATAAAAAGAAAGTTCTAAAGCCTTTCAGGAACTGGAGGAAAGTTACACAAAAGGGAACTAGGATCCAAATACCATCAGATATTACAACAGTGATGCTGGAAGTGAGAGAACAATAGATAAATGCTTTCAACTTCAGAAGAAAAATTCTTTCCAACATAGGTTTCTATACTTAACCTCCCAAAAGCATTGAATTGTGAAGATAATTGTGTAAAATCTTCACAATAATATGTTAAGTGTAATTCAAAAACTTAAATCCCATGAAATTTAAAGTTGTTAGGGTAAGTCTTCAGAATTCTGTCTAGAAATTCTAGACATATATAGTTCTGGCTATATATCCCTAATCTTTATGGTCCCAGGTGCTTGTTAGAGTCACATAATGGTGTTTGTCTGTTCTGGTTAGAAAGACAAGTGGAGATGATTCTTGGGCCGTTGGCTATTTAATTGCTATGGCTAAAGAGAGATTCTAAGAAATACAGGTTATTTAGTGCTGGTTTCATTCATTTTCCAGATGAGCCAGGAGAAACATGAGAACATTAGAAATCACAATGTATCTGCCTTCCACCTGAGAAAATGTTGCCTACTTTTTTCATACACTAAGAGCTTTATCCTTCTCTCCCTTAGCCCTTCTCTCTCAGAAGATAAGAATTGTATTCTGCCACATTTTGAGAATGGGAGGCTGAACAAGACTCATTCACCATTTTTGGTATATACCCATCCGCATTTTTAAAATGTCTTATTTCTAAAAATAAAATAATTTCAGCATCTGGGTTCTCAAAACTAATATAGCACCAAAACACTAATGTTCAGGACACTACTACAAGCATGTGCTTTTTCTAAACAACATAGCAAATTAAGGTTGAGCCAACACAGTGTCCACAAATCCATACAATACAAAATATCCAATACAGAAGAGAGATTTAAGGCACTCCCAAAAAGATCTGTGAAGCTGATTCTAAGAATATCCAACCCAGATTGGAGTAACTGGAGAGAATATTTAAGAATATAAGATATTTCAAGCAAAATAAAAGGAAGTTATGTTATTTAATGTGTTTTGCTATATTGAGTGGAGACTATAAGGCTCCCAGCCAGACTGGAAAACTGGAGAAAAAAATAGATATATTATCAGATGTAAAGACAAAAAAAATAGTGAGCAATTATTTTTTCTAGAGAAAATCATTAGATGCTCAAAAAAAGAATGTAAATATACTGTATTTGCTCAGTTGTGAACAACATTTACATGGTCCAAGTAATGTATAGATTCAACTGGAAACTGTGATATAAATATAATAGGAGCTTGGAGAGGAAAGACAAGAGAGAAAGATAAAGTTTGAAAGTGTGGATGTGGAGGGGGACAGTTTTAAGAATACAACATTCTCATGGTCTGTGTTTGGAAATCAATAAATGATATATGAAATAAAACATTTATAAAAGTCAGTAGATTATATATTAAAAATAGGAAAGTAGGTGCCAGAAGAAACAACTGAATGAATTGCAATTTGTTGATACTAGTGAGTGTGAAGCAAAAGTGAAATGGATTTAGGACAGGAATTCATGGGTTTGGTTAGATGTTTTGAATTAGCATTCATTTTTTAACCATGTACATAGGTTTTGAAGAAAAAGTAAATTAAGGACAGTAGAATTCAGATTATTTAAATGGCTAGTCTACCAGAAGGGTAAAATAAAATTTAAGCAAATTCTAGTTTCAGTTGTTTGCTCCTTGACTTTTATGTTTTCCTCTATTTTATTCAAACATTGCTGTGAGAAAGAAAAAAAAAGGAATGATTATACTAAAATAAACTTAGTCAGGAAAGGTGTTGAGAAGAATTCCATTTTCTAGAACTGCTCTGCCTAACATACAGGCTACTAGCCCATTTCTCTATTTGCAAACTTAAAATGTAGTGAAAATAAGAATACTTGTGACACATCAGATACATTTTTGACATACATAGCAAAATAAAATATATAATTAAAACAAATTTTAACTGTTGATTTTTATTTTTTAATGTGGCTATTATAAAATGTTTAATTACACCTATGGCTCTCTATTAGCCCATTCTCACATTTCCATAAAGAACTACCTGAGACTGGGTAATTTATAAATAAAATAGGTTTAATTCATACACAATTTTTTCAGGCTGGTGAGGCCTCAGGAAACATTCAATCATGGCAGAAAGCAAAAGGGGAGGCAGGCATGTCTTCACATGGCAGAGCGAGAGAGAGAGAGTATGAAGAGGAAGGTGCCACACACTCTTAAGCAACCAGATCTCATGAGAACTCTTATTATGAGACAACACTAGGGGGATGGTGCTAAACCATTAAAAACCACCCTCATGATCCAGTCACTTCCCACCAGGCCCCACCTCCAACACTGGGGATTATAATTCAACATCATATTTGGGTTGGGACACAGAACCAAACCATATTATTTCCCCTTGGTCCCTCCCAAGTCTCACGTTCTTCTCACATTTCAAAAGGCAATCATGCCTTCCCAGCAGTCCCCCAAAGTCTTCACTCATTCCAGCATTAACGCAAAAGTTCAATTCCAAAGTCTAATCTGAGAAAAAGCAAGTCCCTTCTGCCTATGACCTTGTAAAATAAAAACAATGTAGTTATTTTCAAGATACAATGGGGGTACAGGAATGTGGTACATGCTCCTTCTCTAAAAGGAAGAAATTAACCAAAGCAGAGGAGCTACAGGCCCGATGCAAGTCCAAAACCCAGAAGAACAGTCATTAATTCTCAAAACTCCAAAATAATCTCCTTTGACACCATGTCTGACATCCAGGCAACACTGATGCAAGGGGTGGGTTCCCAAGGCCTTAGGCAGCCCTGCCCCTTTGGCTCTGCAGGGTACAGCCCCCTCAGCTGTTCTCCTGGGCTGTCATTGAGTGCCTGTGGCTTTTCCAAGTGCAAGATGGTGGGCCTACCATTCTGGGGTCTGGAGAACAGTGGCCCTCTCTCACAGCTCCACTAGGCAGTGCCCCAGTGGGGACTCTGTGTGGGGGCTCCAACCCCACATATCTCCTCTGCACTGCCCTAGTAGAGATTCATGATGAGGGCTCCACCCCCTCAGCAGACTTCTGCCTGGACATCCAGGCATTTCCATATATCCTCTGAAATCTAGACAGAAGCTTCCAAGCCTCAACTTTTGCCCTCTGCACACCTGAAGGCTTAACACTACATGGAAGCTGCCAAGGCTTAGGGCTTGCAACATCTGAAGCAAAGGCCTGAGCTATACCTTGGTCCCTTTTAGCCATAGCTGGAGGTGGATCTGGAGCTAGAATGGCCATAATGCAGGGTGCAATGCCCCAAGGCTGCACAGTGTAGTAGGGCCCTGGGTCTGTCCCTCAAAACCATTCTTTTCTCCTAGGCCTCCAGGTTTGTGATGGGAGGAGCTGCAATGAAGGTATCTGAAATGCCTTCAAGTCATTTAGCCCATTGTATCGGCTATTAACATTTGGCTTCTCTTTTCTTATGAAAATTTCTACAGCTGCCTTGAATTCCTCCTTAGAAAATAGGTTTTTCATTTCTACCACATGGTCAGACTGGAAATATTCCAAACTTTTATGTGCTGCTTTCCCTTTAAATATAAGTTTCAATATTAGAAAATCTATTTGCTCATGAATATAAACATACACTGTTAGAAGCAGCCAGGCCACATCTTGAGTGCTTTGCTGATTAGAATGTTTCTTCTGCCAGATACTCTAAATCATCTCTCCCAAGTTCAAAGTTCCATAGATCCCTAGAGCAGGAGCAAAATGTTGCCAGTCTCTTTGCTAAAGCATAATAAGAGTGAACTTTACTCAGTTTGCAATAAGTTCCTCATCTCTATCTGAGACCACCTAGGCCTGGACTTCACTGTCCATATCACTATCAGTATTTTGGTCACAGCCATTTAACAAATCTCTAGGAAGTTCCAAATTTTCCCTCATCTTCCCATATTCTTGTGAGCCCTTCAAACAGTTTCAACCTCAGCTCTTACTCAGTTTCAAAACCACTTCCACATTTTCAGGTATTTTTATAACAATACCCCATTCCTGGTACCAATTATCTTCATTAGTTCATTCTTACCCTACTATAAATAACTACCTGAGACTGCATAATTTATAAACAGGCTTAATTGGCTAATGGTTTTGCAGGCTTTACAGGTAGCATGGCTGGTGTGGCCTCAGGAAATTATTACTCATGCCAGAAAGCAAAAGTGGAAGGAGGCACATCTTCACACGGTGGGACAGGAGAGAGACAGAGTGAAGGGGAAGGTGCCACACACCTTTAAACAATCAGATCTTTTGAGACAGCACTAACGGTGCTAAACCATTAGAAAACACTCTCATGATCCAATCACCTCCCACCCAGCCCCACCTCCAACACTAGGGATTATAATTCAACATGAGATTTGGGTGGGGATGCAGAGCCAAATGATATCAAGCTCTCATTTTTAGGCTTATTTTATATTTGTATTAGACAGCACGCTTCTGGTGATGGGAACTGGTGACAAAATACTTAGGTTTGAACAGCATAAGACCTCAAGAGGGCAAGGACTGTAGTATGTACCCAATAAATATTGAATGGATCTAGACAGAGTAAAAAGGTACCATGGGCAATAATTAACAAAACAGGTATTTTGGAGGGGCTACCTAAGCAATGCTGCAGCTGGTTGCAGGATACATAAAGGTGACAATATGTAAGAAATCCAAATGCTTAACATCTAGGCATAAGGATTCACTTCTTGGTTTCCAAGTTAGCTAAGGAGAAAAATAATCCATTTTGAAAGAGGCTTTGAAAAAGAACATACAATACATAAGAAAGAAAAAGCAATGGAAAGATTGCAGTCCCACTGATTTGAAGTTGCAGTTCTAAATAGACTAAAAGTCTTAAAAACAGTAAAAGGAAAGTTGGGAACAAGTACATATTTAAAAGGATAGCTAATCACCATCCCAAAAGATAAACTCCTGAACCTGTTAATTCTGCATGTTGAAATCCCCAAAAATCAAAATCCTGTAAATATATTTCTGAAAAAAAATTTTTAGAAATCTTTAAAATAAATGTGTTTACATTTTCAAAAGGAGATTTATTTGACAAACATATAAAAACACAACAGAACACATCATTTGCCACTTTGCACAATAAAATAGGCAAAAATAGCATACATATTTTTGCAAGCATAAACATTTGGGTGTACTAATCACAGTTGCATGAGTACAACAGTTATGAACAGACAAAACTTATTCATAGATGGTAGGACAGAAAGGGAAATGGATAAATACATGTCACTTTGGTTAGTAACTGTGTGTACTCAGCTTCATAAATGTAGTCATCTGTAATACCATGATAAACAACCTAGGTCTTTTGACAAGGTCAATACAAAACCACAGTAGGTCACCACTATATATGGAGTTGCCCAAACAGCCAAGATCCCAACAAATTGTATCTTTCACAAATGCATATATACAGCAAAAACATATCTTCCTTTACTGAGGAAGTGTCAACATTTTTAGGTACATGCAGAATACTTACACACAAAGCAAATGTGATAATGTTCTTTCTTGGAATCAAATTTGCAAAAAAACGCATAAACAAATTAAACTCTCTAAAAGTCTCTACACAATTTATACTTTCAGTATTGGAAATGATACAAAGGTGAAATACTTAGCATAAAAATTGTAAAGAATAATGCTGACAGTTCAAAATAATGAAAAAATCTAAAAAGAAAATCTGACATATGAAAAAGTTTATTGCAGTGATAGATTATGAGCAGTTGAGCAGTTGCACAGAGATAGTCAATAAGAGCTGGTAGATTTTCACAAGCATTAATTATATTTTGAAGTTTTACCTCACAAGAAATAGCTGCTTTTGTTAAAGACACAGCTTTTCTCAGAAAATTCATTCACATTCATTTTCTATGTGACACTACTCTTACCTAAATACTTCTATGATTTGCTATAAATGAACATGAGCATTTCTTATTAAAATTTTTCATCTTCTATGCCATGCTTTTATGTTGTTTTGGACATGTGGAAATCCATTTTGTGTGCACTTAGATGCAGACCACAAATTCGGCTGAAATAACACTGTTGATTCAACAACAACACAGTTGCCATTTTTGAAGTTCAGTAACTTCACTGGCTTCTTAGGGCAAACATAATTTTTTTTTTTTTTTTAAGATGGAGTCTCGCTCTGTCGCCCAGGCTGGAGTGCAGTGGTGCTATCTCGGCTCACTGCTAGCTCTGCCTTCTGGTTCCTGCCATTCTCCTGCCTCAGCCTCCCGAGTAGCTGGGACTACAGGCGCCCGCCACCACGCCCAGCTAATTTTTTTTTTTTTTTTTTTTTTTTGGATTTTTACCGCCTGTAGTCCCAGCTACTCAGGAGGTTGAGGCAGGAGAATGGCGTGAACCCGGGAGGCGGAGCTTGCAGTGAGCTGAAATAGCGCCACTGCACTCCAGCCAGGGCGAAAGAGAGAAACTCCGTCTCAAAAAAAAAAAAAAAAAAAAAAAACTCCTGGAATTTCATCAATCGATGGGAATGCCAATGCTGACAAATGATGCTTTTTTAAATTGAAGTTTTCCATGTTGCCATATTGCATGGCAAATCCACTTATCTTGACTTTCTGCCACATTTACTGGGCTGAAATGAAAAAAATTTATAGATGATAACTTGAAATTCACTTTTAGAAATCTTGATCACTCCTAATGCCAAGTCTGTCATTACAATTTGGAAGTTTAATTAGACATTGGAGATTTTCAATTTTAGAGGCTTCGGCTTTAGAGATTTTTATCTTTAGGAATTTTGATATTTAGGGATTTCAGTATTGAGGATTGTGTCTTTTGGAATTATAATCCAAATCTGCTTAAAAGGGAATTCACTTTTCAATGCACTGGCTGCAAACCAATTGTAAATAAGGAAATGTGGAAATGTGATACTGAAAAAAAATTAGAAACTACATGCAATTTGAAACCACTTTAACAGAAACAACAGTTGAAATTATTAATGTCAATTATTTTCTTGTTGTTCTTGTTGTTTTCGTTTGTTTTTTTGAGAGAGAGTCTCACTCTGTTGCCCAGGCTGGAATGAAGTGGCCTGATGGCTCCCTGCAATCTCTGCCTTTTTCATTCAAGCGATTCTCCAACCTCAGTCTTTCAAGGAGCTGGGATTACAGGTGCACGACACCACGCTTATATAATTTTTTTTGTAATTTAGTAGAGATGGGGTTTCACCATGTTGGCCAGGCTGGTTTCAAACTCATGACCTCAAGAGATCCACCCACCTCAGCCTCCCAAATTGCTGGAATTACAGGTGTGAGCCACCATGCCTGGCTTAAGTCAGTTGTTTTCAGAAATAAATATGAAAGCTGAAAGGATATTAGAAATATTCCATGATATGTTCATTTATGTGTACATTCAAATTATTGAATATGTTCATTCAATAGTCAAACCCACATGATGTATTAGTTGTATTACTTTTATTATCAGCAAAAACCTGCACTTAGTTTCTAGTATTTTGAAATTTGGGGGAAAATACTCATAAATCAAGGACGAAAAAAAAACTTTCAAGAGAATGCTAGAATAACTAAAAGTTAGAGAAGAGATTATAGAATAATTAATTGATCAAAGGGCATCAGCTAGTCTATGGGTAAAATGATTAAAAAATGTTCTTAAGCCAGCTTTAGGTGAAATTCAGCAGAGCACAGTATTCTGTTATTTTATATTTTTCTTACACTAATATATGTTGCTTTGTGCTAAGTAATTAATAAACCTGAGCATGACTGAGTTAAGAGGAACTGCACAGAAGATAAGTCATTCCGTGAAATGGTACTTACAGATATGAAAATGATTCTTTAAACACCTAGCAAGGAAAGAGATATTCATCTCATTTGAAGAAACCTGAAGGATTGGTTCTCTATTTAATACTACTCTTTAAATAATACCATCATTATGACTTTATTAATGTCTGAAAGAAATGTCACTTAAATCTTTTGCCAAAGTACCAGCGCTTGCTTGTCATTTGGCAGTTCTCTCATTTCCATTTTTTTCCTTCAAACTGTTTGCATATTCCGCAGGCTCATTTGTTATGTTTATCTTTCTTACCATACCTAATTGAATGTAATGGGATGATTTGGCTCATTCTGTGCACTGTGTGGTCTCTGCAGGCATGCTCCTCAACACATTTTAACATCCTAAAAGAAAATCCTATTACCACAAAATAGCGTTTAGATTAGAATGTAAACATGCCATTCCATTTGCTTACCTTATTTAGAATCCCAAGAGTCATGGGACAGAAAATCTTAGGGTCTAATATGAACATCTCTGAAATAAGCATAATGAACTTCACATCATAAAGAGTAAAGCCCCAAACGAGGCTTTTTACATTTTTTCTGTTCATATAGAAAGGCTACAAACTGTTCATCATATTCACCTAATTCACTCTGGATTCAGAAAAGAAGATAGAGAAAGGCTGTTTGGAGGATATACATAGGTTTTAAGAAAACTCTATGAATAGGAGGAAGATAGAGACTCAGAAAGTCAAATAGAACTACACGAAAGTCATAGCTTCACAGATGTACATGTCCATTTCTAAACTCCTCAGATGTGATAAAGAATGATTATCAAAAAATTAGGAAATTAAATTTGAGAGAAAAAATGGGTTCATTAGTCATTATAAATGCTAAAAATTAAATTAATGCCATAAAAATGTAATAATCAGGTTTTTATAATTTCAAGTTAAAAAAGAAAATGGTAGAGTCAGACTAATTGACAGAAAAGGTTTCAATCTCATTTGGAAAGTTATAAATTTTGTGTTACACATGGTTATGTGACCTATGATGGTATTCTAAAGCTTTCTCTATGAGTAAATAGGGTACATGGGAAGGTTTTGTTGTTTGTTTGTTTGTTTGTTTTTGACACAGTCTCACTCTGTCACCCAGGATAGAGTCTAGTGGCATGATCTCAGCTCACTGCAACCTCCGCCTTCCGGGTTCAAGAGATTCTCCCATCTCAGCCTCCGAAGTAGCTGGGATTACAGGTGCCCATCACCATGTCTGGCTATTTTTTTATTTTTGTATTTTTAGTAGAGATGGAGTTTCACCATGTTGGCCAAGCTGGTCTCAAACTCCTGACCTCAGGTGATCCACCCGCCTAGGCCTCCCAAAGGGCTGGGATTGGCAGGCATAAGCCACCACACCTGGCCATGGGAAAGTTTTTTAACTATACTTTGCATACATGCAAAGCAAGAAGATGGTATAGAAAACAGTAAACAGGTAGAGCAGACCTACATTTAGAGCTAAAAGATAGTGAAGAAACATGGAATCCACATGACAATAAAATTCTCTACCAGCAAAAAGGGCATCCAAATCCATAATAATTTGTCAACAAACAATGTTTGTAGGTCCAACTTGGGGAATTTTGGTGATTGTGTTTTTAGAAGCCACTCAAGGCAGCCTGTAATCCCAGCACTTTGGGGGGCCGAGGCAGGCAGATCACCTGAGGTTAGGAGTTCAAGACCACCCTGGCCAACATGGTGAAACCCTATCTCTACTAAAAATACAAAAATTAACCAGGTTATGATGTGCACCTGTAATCCTAGCTACTTGGGAGGCTGAGGCATGAGAATCACTTGAACCTGGAAGGTGGAGGTTGCAGTGAGCCGAGATCACGCCACTGTACTCCAACCTGGGTGACAGAGCGAGACTCCATCTCAAAAACAAACAACAACAACAAGAATAACAAACAAAACAAAAAACAATTAGTCTTGATTTTAAGAGGGCTAAGACTTGCCAACATTATTTGAGAAAATAGTAATGGTTTACTATTTAATTTATTTAGCTGTAATGACCTTGACTGAAAATACTTCCTAGGAATGCTAAATTATGTGTGGGAAATAATCCTTTTGTGATAGGAGATATGGTATACACTAGTTTGTTGCATTGCTCAAGCAAGAGGCCAAGAATTTCTATTGTAATTCATTTATAGGATTTCTTCGAAAGAGCTCATCACATACTTAGTCCCTATCCCGACTTGAAAATAATCTGAACTAAGTCCAGTGTTTAATCTAAATGAATGTCAACTCAGAAAATGAATATAGAGTTGGTTCTCAAATTACAGCATGCACCTGGAAGCCTTGTACAAATACAAATTGCCAGGCCTCATCCCCACAGATGCTGAATCAGTAAGTGTGATGGAGATCTAAGACTGCATTTGTAACAATCTCCCAAGTGGTGCTGAGGCTGCTGTTCTAAAGACTGCCTTTTGAGGACTAGTGATATAAAGCATAATATGAATATTGCTAACATATTAATTCTGAAAAAAAGACAAACAGTTCAGAACCAATTGATTGGTATTGATTGAGGAAGCTTTATATATTTGTACATCATATAATATTTTTACTATTTGTTAATACATATTGTTATCTAAAATGGGTACAGATATATTCACACTTTCTGGAAGATAAGTAAGGCACAGTATAAATCAGTTATTTGAGTAATACTCCTAAAATGTTAAGTAATTTTTTAAAATCTTGAAATAGACATCTCCACATAGAAATAAGTTATTTATGGTTGCTTATATAATTCTGTATAGACTGTTGACTGGCTAAAAAATTGCAACATATTACAGCTAAGTAGTCTTATCAAATAAATTATGTAAACTCTTAGGTCACCCAAGTACTTCATAAGAGCAACCTCTTACCACAATAAATAGGGCAGTTAATATAAATTAGAAAGCAAATGGAACATGCACACAATGGTGAATTATACTGCAGGATAAAAATCAATATAATGACTGAAATTTCTCTTGTGGGAATATTAATGTTTTGGCCATGGTTTTAAATAAAGTCATAGCTGACATATCGAAGCCAATTTCTGTAATGAATAAAATGACAACTGAGGCACTAAAATATGTTACAATCTTCAAACTGTAAACCTGTACATTGTGGTAAACATTATTATTCAAATGTTACTTTTTTACTTTATTTCAGACTGGATTTTTATATTTTTATTTATCTGCTTAACAAAATAATACTATCTTGGCTTTCTAATTTCCCACATTATTATCCACAAGATAAAATAAACCAACTGAATAGTATACTCCAAGTAATTTCTTAACTTCAGAAACATAGCAAGAAATTTAAATTGACATTTGGAATCCTAAATTATGTTTTTAATGATAGTTAAGTAATTGAGTTAATACTTAGACTTCTAGTCCAAGATAAACTAAGACGGATGTAGAAAAGTTGAGGAAGTTAGGTATGTAGCACCATGTATATATACATGCATAAATTACACACCTGTTGAGTAAGCCCCAATGAATTTAAGAATGGGGCATCCAAACATTTCAAATGTTATAAATAGATTGAAAATCACAAAATGTCTATATTAATATAAATCCTATTTCAGAAGTCCTTTTTTTAGAAATTCTGTGACACTGGTTTTTCTCTCATAGGTGTATATATTCCCTTCATCTGAACATTGGCTGAAGTTGGTAACTGCCTCATCTAATACAAGGCAGCAGAAGCAATGCTATGGGACATCCAAGACTGGATTATAAAAGACAGTACATGTTTTTTCTCTCTCTCTCTTTCTCTTTTTCTCTCATCCTTACTTCTATGGCTTCAAACTTTTTTATCGTGTTACTGACATATTCTATTTTCTTAAAAATTTTTGTTCTACATTTCAAAGACGTATTAAAAATATCTCATTTTGGGGGGAGGGGAGAGGGATAGCATTTGGAGATATACCTAATGTTAAATGACGAGTTACTGGGTGCAGCACGCCAACACGGCACATGTATACATATGTGACTAACCTGCACGTTGTGCACATCTACCCTAAAATTTAAAGTATAATAAAAAAATCTCATTTTTAAGTTGGTCAATGTATATGTTTTTACAGAAGTTTCTGCTTATCTATTTTTATACATTGAGGTTAAATCCATACTAGTCAATTAAGAAGAATGTTTTGGAGGATACTTTTTTTTTCAATAACTATTGTTCTCATTTGTCCTTAACAGTTTTCATATGCCTTAAAACTTCTATTTAAAGTAGTACTAAAAAAAACTGTACAGAGTAATAAGTGAAGAAAATACAAAAGTCAAATCAGGCTGAGCATGGTGGCTCACGCCTGTAATCCCACCACTTTGGAAGGCTGAGGTTGGTGGATCACTTGAGGTCAGGAGTTCCAGACCTACTTGGTCAACATGGCAGAACCCTGTTTCTACTAAAAATACAAAAGAAAAAAAAATCGCTGGGCCTGGTGGCATGCACCTGTTGTCCCAGCTACTCAGGAGGCTGAGGTGGGAGAATCGCTTGAACCGGGTGGCAGAGGTTGCAGCGAGCCGAGATCATGCCGCTGCACTCCAGGCTGGGCAGCAGGATCAAAACTCCGTCGCAAAAGAAAAAAAAAAGTTATTCAAATCAGAAAGTAAGAGGATCATACAGATGATATGATCTTGTAGGCAGACAACCCTAAAGAGACTACAAAAATAACTGCTAAAACTAATAAACAAATTCAGTAAAATTATGGGATGCAAAATTACATGAAAAAATTAGTTACATTGTCATACACCAACACTGAACTGTCTGAAAATTAATTAAGAAAACCTTCCAGTTTACAATATAATAAAAAATTATAAAATACTAAGGAAAAAACTTAACCAAGGAGGCAAAAATCTGGTACACTGAAAACTATAAAACGCCATTAAATACACTGAAAAAGAAACAGAAAAATGAAAAAAAAATCTGTGTTCTTAAGTTAGATAATGTAATATTGTTTAAATGTCAATTCTACCTAAAGTGGCCTACAGAACCAATGCAATCTCTATCAAAATCTCAATGGTATTATTATAGAGAAATTTAAAAAAAATCCTAAAATTCGTATGGAACCAGAAAAACCCTGAATAACCAAAGCAATCTTGAGAAAGAAGAATAAAGCTAGTGACATCAAACTTTCTGATTTTAAAATACATTACAAAGCTACAGTATTTAAGCAGTCTACTGACTTAAAGACAGACATAAAAACCAATAGAGCAGATAGAGAGCTGAGAAATAAACCCACATATATGTGGTTAGCTGACTTTTTACAATGGTCCCCGAAAAACACAATGGGTAAAGGAGAATCTCTTCAATAAATGGTGATATGAAAACTGCATATCCACATACAGAAGAATGAAACTGGACTCTTATATTACACCATACACAAAAATCAACCCAAAATTGATTAAAACGTTGAACATAAAGCCTATGCCTGTAAAACTCCTAGAAGAAAACAGGAGGAAAGCTTCATGACATTGGTCTAGACAATGACTTATTTTATACGACAGCAAAAGCAAAAGCAACAAGAGTACAAACAGAAAAGTGGAACAATATCAAAATGAAAGTATTTTCGGAACAAAAGAAACAGAGTGAAAAAGCAACCTTCAGAATGGGAGAAAATACTTGAAAACCATACATCTGACAAGGGGTTAAACAATTTAAAAATAGGTAAAGGGCTTGAATAGAAATTTCTCCAAGGAAGAAATACAGAAGACAAACAGGCATATAAAGATATGCTCAGTATCACTATTTATCAGGGAAATGCAATTTAAAATCACAAGCAGGTATCACCTCACACTTGTTAGGAAGATTATTGCTAAATTAACAAAGAAAACATGTTGGCACTACATAAAGAAATTGGAACCCTGCACAATGTTGGTATGAATGTAAAATGATTTAGCCTTTATGGAAATCAGTATGGAGTTCTCTCAAAAATTAAAAATAGAATTACCTTATAAGTGAGAAATTCCAATTCTGGGTATATATCCACAGAAATTGAAATAAGGATATTGAAGAGATATTTGTACTCTCATGTTCATTGCAGCATTATTCACAAATCTAGATTTGAGAACCTAAATATACATTGCCAGATGAATGGAAAAGGAAAATGTGTTATATACATATACTGGCTCCTTATTCAGCCTTAAAATGAAGGCAATACTGCCATATGCAACACTGTGGATGGATTTGGAAGACATAATGATAAGTGAAATAAGCCAGTCACAGAAGAATGAATTTTGAATAATTACATTCAAAATTTATATATGAAGTATAGGAGTTAGTCAAACTCATAGAAACTTAGAATAGAAGGGTAGTTGCCAGCAATTGAGTGGAGGAGGGAATGGGTTATTCAATGGGTATAAAATGTCACTAATTCAAAATGAATAAATCATAGATATCTATAGTATAACGTTGTGCTTATACTTAACAATACTGCATTGTGCACTTTAAAATATAAGAGTGTAAATCTCATGTTACATTTTTTACCACAATTATTAAGCAAAAAAATTGTTGTACACTGATATTGCACTATTTTCATTTATCTTAAAAATTAAAACATATTTTTACTAGATTCTGTTTATCATAATTACCTAAGAGTAATATAGATCAACAAAAGTTTCTTATCCAATCTCAGTTTCTCTGTCTCTTAATAGTTATTAACTTTTAAAAATTACTGTGATAATATAATATTTATATACCGTATGATAATATTTTTAGAAATGTTGCTTTGTATTTTGCTTACAATGCATTCTCTATGTATTGTTTTCCTTATTTTTAGCTGAAATACACATACACACATATTTTGACAGCAATGATTTTGATATTTAATAATTTACCTAAAATAATTTTTATTCTTCAAATTATTCAATGTATCTCTCCTCCTCTGAATCAAGAAAAAAAAAACTTAGCATGTCTTAAATTATTTGAAAATGTGCCTCTCGTTCTTACTTGTTATTGCTGTGGAGCGTTTTAGGTTTGCCTTTTTGATATCACCTGTAAATTGGTCACTATTATTTAAACTTAGATTTGTTTCATATTGTATTAAGGATTGGTTTACTGCATCTTCTTTGATCATTTGTATTTTTACTGATAAATACTGTGAGAAAACTTTTTCAGAGGAGATATACATTTGTATTGGTGTACTTAAAATATATTTATATACCATTTGTCTTGATTGATTTTTATTATTTAATATTTTTATTATTTAAGGATTGAAGCTGGTATTTTAAGGTCTTTTGTAAAGCATTTTTGAATATGAGAAATCTTTATTAATCTATTACTATTTATCAACAATTCTGCATTTTCTTTTTAGTTGTTTTTACTGTTTTGTCATTTATTTAATTGTATAGGTCTATGTAATATCTGTTTATATTTATTCATGTTTATTTTACTTTGTGTGTCTTTCCCAGTTAAGAACTAATATATTTTTTCATTTAAGGAAAATTCTAAATAAAAAACATTTGAATGTTGCTTCTCTATTCTTTTCTGTATTCTTTACTTCTGAAATACATGTTAAATATGCACTGGAAGCTCTTTTTACTGAATCTTCTCTAGAATTTTTCTCAAATATTAATACTATTTTTATTCTAATAATTGAATTTTATATTTGTTTATTCATACGTACATGTTCTCTATTCATGTATTTTTTTCATAATCTTGCATCTTTGGTTATATATATAATTTTTTTTTTAATTTTGAGAAACACACTTGTAAAGTGCCATTCTTACATTGCATTATAATTGTTAATTCCCTCAAAAAATTATTTAACTTACTGGCTTTGTTGAAATTGGTACAGTTTTTTTTTTCTTTTATTATTATTATACTTTAAGTTTTAGGGTACATGTGCACAATGTACAGGTTAGTTACATATGTATACATGTGCCGTGCTGGTGTGCTGCACCCATTAACTCATCATTTAGCATTAGGTATATCCCCTAAAGCTGTCCCTCCCCACTCCCCCCACCCCACAACCGTCCCCAGAGTGTGATGTTCCCCTTCCTGTGTCCATATGTTCTCATTGTTCAATTCCCACCTATGAGTGAGAATATGGCGTGTTTGGTTTTTTGTCCTTGCGATAGTTTACTGAGAATGATGACTTCCAATTTCATCCATGTCCCTACAAAGGACATGAACTCATCATTTTTTATGGCTGCATAGTATTCCATGGTGTATATGTGCCACATTTTCTTAATCCAGTCTATCATTGTTGGACATTTGGCTTGGTTCCAAGTCTTTGCTATTGTGAATAGTGCCTCAATAAACATAATGTGTGCATGTGTTTTTATAGCAGCATGATTTATAGTCCTTTGGGTATATACCCAGTAAAGGGATGGCTGGGTCAAATGGTATTTCTAGTTCTAGATCCCTGAGGAATCGCCACACTGACTTCCCCAAGGGTTGAACTTGTTAACAGTCCCACCAACAGTGTAAAAGTGTTCCTATTTCTCCACATCCTCTCCAGCACCTGACTTTTTAATGATTGCCATTCTAACTGGTGTGAGATGGTATCTCATTGTGGTTTTGATTTGCATTTCTCTGATGGCCAGTGATGGTGAGCATTTTTTCATGTGTTTTTTGGCTGCATAAATTTCTTCTTTTGAGAAGTGTCTGTTCATGTCCTTCGCCCACTTTTTGATGGGGTTGTTTGTTTTTTCTTGTAAATTTGTTTGAGTTCATTGTAGGTTCTGGATATTAGCCCTTTGTCAGATGAGTAGGTTGCGAAAATTTTCTCCCATTTTGTAGGTTGCCTGTTCACTCTGATGGTAGTTTCTTTTGCTGTGCAGAAGCTCTTTAGTTTAATTAGATCCCATTTGTCAATTTTGGCTTTTGTTGCCATTGCTTTTGGTGTTTTAGACATGAAGTCCTTTCCCATGCCTATGTCCTGAATGGCAATGCCTAGGTTTTCTTCTAGGGTTTTTATGGTTTTAGGTCTAATGTTTAAGTCTTTAATCCATCTTGAATTAATTTTTGTATAAGGTGTAAGGAAGGGATCCAGTTTCAGCTTTCTATATATGGCTAGCCAGTTTTCCCAGCACCATTTATTAAATGGGGAATAGTTTTTTTTTTCCGCTGTCTCTCTCCTGAGTTTTAAAATGTTAGCCTGCAAATTCATTCTTTCTGTTACCTTCTTTTTCCCCTCTCTTCTTATGCTTACTCTTGTTTTTAATGACTTGATTGTCACCCTTCCCTTCCTTTCTGGCCTTCCTGTGAAGAGCTATGGAGAAAAATATTCATATATTGATAAATTAATTATAATATCTTGTATGGAGAAACGCATTCATATGTTGATGGCTTAATTATAATATCTTGCAGGACTATTGCACATTTATTCCCCAAGCTAGTGCTCTAATATTCCATCTTATTGGGTTTTCTACAATGTATCCTGTCCCCCAAGAGAAAAGCTACTCAGTATGAGCAACGGTGTTGAGTAGTGTTCATGTTTTGTAAATCGTATGTTTGTGCACTGAAACTGGGTGAAATACTCTGCCATACACAAGTGTACTAAGCTCATTTTCATTTCTTCATGGGAGTTAAATTTCCAGATATCATTCTCCATTTCTTATTGTGGTTTCTACCTCCATTATCTACTTTATCTGTTTATTATATTTAAGGTCCACATAATTAGTTTTCTTTGTTTTTTTTTCCACAAATATTGTTGTGTTCAAATATCTCCAGAAATTTACATTTTTACTTGGATCAGAATTGCTAATGAGTGTTTGTGTGTGTGTGTGTGTGTCTGTGTGTATTTTTAAACTTGATTTTCTCTTTTAAACTGAAGGAAAAGAATGTAAGTATTACACTAAAGAGATTAACCTCTTTAATGCTTTTCCCACATTTTTGCTTAGTGTTATGCTTATCATAGTTGATTTTAAAAAGCCAATTCTCAGCCAAGGTAGTTGGGTTACAATGTGGTTTTATATATTTTAGGAAGACATAAGACATCAATCAATACATTTGAGGTATGCATTAGTTCTGTCCCGAAAGGCAAGATAACTCAAAGCAGCGAGTAAGGGGGAACAGTGGGGGCTTACAAGTCACAGGGAGATTCAAGTATTTTCTTATTGGCAATTGGTTGGAAGTTATTTTCTAAACACCTGTAATCAATAGAAAGGAGTGTCTAGGTTAAGATAATGGGTTGTGGAAACCAAGGTTCTTAATGTGTACATGAAGTCCCATATGTGGCTACTCTTGGAGACAATAGATGGCAAATGTTTCATATGTAGACCTTTAAAACATGCTATACTCTCAGTTAATCTCTTCAGATTGGGAGAGTCTGGAAGGGAAAAGATCTAGTTATGTTAACAGAGATTCTTTATAGAGGCAAATTTTTCCTTACCAAAGATGATTTACAGGACCACTTCAAAATGTGGCAAAGAAACATATTTTGGAGTAAAATATCTTGATTTCCTTTTTTATCTGTCTTGTGATGTTATAGTAGAGTCAGGTTGGAATATGATATCTTATTGCTACAAAGAGTCTGTTTTGTCAGTCTTAAGATGTCTATTTTAATGTTTATGCTGGTCAGCTGGGCCTAAACTCTAAAGGGTGGAGAGTATAATTAGGCCTGTCGAAACAACTTCCCTTCCCATCATGACTTGAATTACTTTTTCAGATTTCTTTAAATCCCTTTGGCTGAAAGAGGGGATCTATTTAGTCAGTTAGGGGCTTCAAATTTTATTTTTGCTTTACACACAGAAAGCTATAAGGACTATGCAGTAACTGTATCCAAAATAAGTGATGCTGTCACATAGATCCTGTAAGGGAAATGGCTGCACTTTCATCAGGAGTAGGCCGAGGCAGACTTCTGTCATAGCATGACTCAGTGGGTTTGGAATGCAGGTGCACAATCCCACACATTATGTAACCATGCCACGTGAGGCACATTAGGCGATCACTCATATGGGCTCATGCTTGGCTCAGAGCCACTATTATCTGTAAAAAGTATAATTACCCTGCTAAAGCTGTACATATGATTTGCCCATACCGAGAGAGAGAGAGAGTAAAGCCATGTTGAAACTGTCTATGATTCCTCGACTGATTTTCCTGCTACCCATCACTTGCCCACCAACTCCCCTCAGACCTCAGTTAGAACCTGACAATTGGTGTCACAAACAGGATCCCAAGCTATGCTGCTCAGATGGGATCTGGTGGAAACCTGGGTGGTGGTAGATGCTTCCCTTGCAAGCAAGGAGAAGGTGCTGAAGCATCTGGAAGTGCAGAGCTTTTACTGGAAGGGTTGGATGGGCTTTTTTGACTACACTACATGAAGTGCACATCCAGTCTCAGAGGGATGGAGCACAGGTAAGGGCCCTTCAGGCACAGGTTGGGTGTCTGGAGGCCCAGCTACACAGCTCAGAAATATAGTGAGAAGTTACCAGAAATGGGGACCTTCAGGGGCAAGCGGGGCACCTGGAGGCCAGCTGCAGAGCTTGGAAAAGGAATTAGAAGCTGCTGTGAATGCAGGCCTGGGTCCATCATCTTGGCCAGAGACCCCCCACTCAGTCTGATACCAAGGAGGAAGAACCTCCATTGCGGGCTAGCCCAGTAGTCTGTCAGAAGGTAGATCATGAACAGCCAATGGGGCCTGCCCCAATGCCCCTAAAGATAGGGGAACAAAAAACCTGGCTTTAATATATAAAGTAATATTCAATATTGGGATAAAGTCACCATGGGTGGTTGCCCACATATGTCAGAACTGTGTGTCTGGGGCCTGTATGTGAAGCCTGTGTATCAGGCCTGTGTGCCCAGAGTTTATGTGTCAGGCTTATGTGTTAAGCCTGTGTGTTGGGCTTGTATGCCCAGACTTATGTATCAAGCCTGTGTTGAGCTTGGGAGTCCAAAGCCTATGTATCAGGCCTCTATGTCAGACTTGTGTGTGCAGGTCTATGTCTCCCTCAGCCTAGAGGGTAGAGTAAGAAAAATGGATGTACTGTGGTCAAGAATAGGCCAAGGCAGACATCTGGTCCAACATGACTCAGCGGGTTTGGAGTGCAGGCACACAACTCTGCATGTTATGTAACCATGCCACATAGGCACATTATGTAACCACACCACATGAAGCGAATTAGGTAATCACCCACATGAGCTTGTGCTTGGCTCAAAGCCACTGTTGTCTGTAGAAGGTATAATTATCCTGCCTAAGCTGTACATATGATTCTCACACCAACAGAAAAAGTAAAGTCATGTCAAAACTGTCTGTGATTCCTCGAGTGTTTTTTCAGCTACCCACCACTTGCCCAACTCCTCTTGGATGTCAGTTAGAACCTGATAAGGTGGTGGAAATACAGTTTCACAGCAAAAAATAAAATGATGTGAGGATATCTCCAACCACTTTGATACAAAATATTGTGTTATAGACTTATGCAGTAAGAATATAGGCTGTTTAAGGTTGGGCCAATGTTGTACATATGGCTTGCTTGTGCCCAGAGAGTAAAGCCATGTTGAAACTGTCTACAATTTTCCAAGTGTTTTTCCAGCTACCCACCACTCACCCACTGACTTCCCTCAGACCTCAGACCTGACACTTCTATACTCTTTTTTACATAGGTTTACAGAAATTATCATGTTCTCTTACCAGAAGTGTTTGATATAACAGTCAGATTGCATACACATTCTTTTGAAGAACTCTCAGCCTGAAGAAAAGGAAAAGAGAAACTTGACAGAAAAAAAAAAAAAAAAAAAAAAGATGGAGTGCTTCAAGATAAAGAGAGTGTCTACATAGGGTCTACAAGAAAATCTTTTGTAATACTGCTACCTAGAGGTTGGAATGTTAATCAAAGCTCAATATTATTTTTTTGGTTACCTCTACAACTGGAATTTGATTTTATTTTAAAAAGAAATGTCATTTCACAAGCCTTACTATAGTTAAATGTTCTCTTCATTTTTATCCTGGCTTGTCAAAAATCGTGATTTCCAAGCTATAACTTTTCTACTTGCCATTACTACGTATGACAAAAAAATTTGAGAGTATAGCAAAATAAAAATCACTTTAAAAAGATAAACTTACTATAGTTTAAAATAAGAATAAAGTAAAACAATCTCTTTATACTCATGTATTTTTAAAATATATGGAGTTTAATGTACTAAACTTATAATTGGTTCAGCTTAAATTATTTAGTATGCAATATTTTATATAAAAATGTTAATCTTTCAACAATAAACTATTTAAAGGATATTGAAGTTTTAATCCCATAAATGTGAATAAATTAACATTTTTGAATATTTACCTTATTATTTGGAGACTCAGTAAACTGCCATATCTTCAAACATAAGCTATGCTTGCTCTTACTCTCATTTTGTCCATCTAAGTGTATCACACCATCATCTACTTAAAACTTTTAGACAACTCAGACTACCGCCTCTCCTCTCTCTTCTACTTCCTATGGCTAGTCAATTACTAAATCATATATTTTTTTCTCTAAACATATTTAAATTTTGTCCTTCATCTCCTCTGTAAAAATCTCCAAAATAGGGTATATTTTTAAATGTATTCTTCTGATTTATTGACCTCATCAGTCACAAGTAGTCACAAGTGACTTTTCAAACATTTCTAAGTTTGATAATACTACTTTCTTAATTAAGTCCCTTAAAAGGCTCTTTATTTTCTTCAGAATTAAATTAACCTTGATATTAAGGGGATGCATAAGTTTACCTCATGTCCTCTCCTGCTTCATTCCTTATTATTCATTTATATAATAAACACTTTTATATGCTAGTATGTATTAATTACCTTCTAAAGGCTTTACAAAGACCTATTATAAAAGTAGGAATTATTATTTCCATTTGACAGCTGAGGAAGCTGAGACACAGTACAGTAAAGTGAGCTGCCCATAGTTACACAGTTAATAAATGATAGAGCCTCTATTTTAATCCAGGTTCTCTGGTTCCAGAGTCTTTTCTTTTGATCATCGTTCTTCTTTCTTCTTTGTTCTTTCTGCTTCCTGAAGAGATTAGCCACAATGTAAAACCATACTTTAGTTGTTTTTTTTCTCTGCACTGAAGGATTCATATATTTTTCGTCTTGAAGTATTCAAATATTGTGTATTTATTGTTTGAAACATTGTGTACATGTTGAATGTTATATGTGTTTCTCTGTACATATTTTTACTCATGGTATAAAACAAACTCAAATGGGAATTCTCTGAAACTCTAAATCTCGAAGGTTTCTCTGGTTTCTTTTTTCCTTGCCTTCCCATTAGTCAAAAAAGATATCAAGTATATGTATCTTTTTTAAAAAAGCAGAAAAAAGAAATAAACAAAAAAAATAAAATTTTTATGCTACCAGTTCTTTTTTATCCATGGACATCAATGTAATTGTACTCTTGCATCTCAAAATGGAACAAAGACTACAAATTCTAGTCATGCATTCCTTATGCCTGAGTCTCAAAAAAGGAACAAAGACTACATCTTAGTTAGAGAAATTTAAACAAAGTGTTACAAAGGGGATAATTCACAAAATGTGGTTTAGGCAAAAGGAAACCACATGTAAACTTCAAAACAGACCCCTTCTAATGAATATTAAAATGCCTAGATCTGTTTAAGATTGATTTTTGAGCAAGGGTGGAATGTTTGAATAATTACTCTGAATAGCATTAAGCTTTGTGGTTGTCAAAAGCTAATCCATTCCAAGACCAGATAGACAACTAAAACTTATGCAAATACTTGACCCCTTGCTTGACTAGCTTAGCATATTTTGCTCTTTGTGTGCTATTTGCTTTCTCTACTGAGTAATTAGTGTAACATATGCATTCCTATTATATTTCCACGTGCATATCATGCTGTTGCCAGAAAGAGGCCCCGATCCAGATCCCAAGAGAAGGTTGGGTTCATGGATCTTGCACAAGAAAGAATTCAGGGAGAGTCCATAAAGTAAAGTGAAAGCAAGTTTATTAAGAAAGTAAAGGAATAAAAGAATGGCTATGCCATAGGCAGAGCAGTGGCATGGGCTGCTCGACCAAGCATATTTATTGTTACTTCTGGATTATCATCTGCTAAACAAGGGGTGGATTATTCATGAAAGGGGTGGGCAAATCCCGGAACTGAGGATTCCTTTACTTTTTAAGAGCATATAGGGTAACTTTCTGACATTGCCATGGCATTGGTAAACTGTCATGGCGCTGGTGGGAGTGCCTCCTAGCATGCTAATGCATTACAGTTAGCATATAATGAGCAGGGAGGATGACCAGAGGTCACCACTGTGGTCATCTTGGTTTCGGTGGGTTTTGGCCAGCTTCTTTACTGCAACCTGTTTTATCAGCAAAGACTTTATGACCTGTACCCTGTTCCGACCTCCTATCTCATCCTGCGACTAAGAGTGTCTTAACCTCCTGCGTCCAGGGAATGCAGCCAAGTAGGTGTCAGCCTTATTTCACCCAGTCCCTATTCAAGATGGAGTTTCACTGTTTCAAAAACCTCTGAGAAGAGAATATGAATATCCACCAGTATTGATATTTTTATTTCAATCACTGAACGAATTGTAATGTGACAAATCAGTTCTGTTGATAAAGCACACAAAATAGCTAGTTGAATATTTTTAAGCAACCTAATATTATGGATGCCATTTTGGTTCAGTTATAATTAGAGTAACCAAAGGAGGAAAAATCAGCCACATATTGGTTAATGAAAGCAAATCAATGAAAAGAAAGGATCCTGGGATAACAATGATAACTTTAATGATTCCTGGTTTATTTTATTTCTCCTTAAGTAGTATAAAATTCAAATATTTATTTTCTTTTGTATACACAATTATTTCTATATTCTTGTTATAAGTACTAAAATTCTATGCAGACTTATGACACTTGTACTTTTATGTTGGGGGGTGGATATTAAAAATGACTATGTATGCCAATGGAGAAAATTAAAGAATGTAGCTGTAAAAGGTTCATAATAATACATAAGTTTGATATCACCAACACAAGCTATATTTCTATGTCTGGCATTATGCAAATCTAGAGATCTGAAATACTTTTATGAATTCACATGCAGACAACTAAACATACTGGATAAAATTATGTATGCATAGATGAGCTGGCGAAAACTAAGGGATCCTCAGAAACTAAATGTAAAGTGAAATTGCTAATCCTGAGAGGTAAGAAAGCACTCAAGTTCATTTGCTTCAGAGCAGGTTAAAAATCCTGGTTACTTCAGTTTCTGTTTTATCTGCCACTTGTTATGCAAAGGACAGGAGAAAAACCCAGAGGTTTCACTCTAAGTTGGAGTTTAATAGAATTCTGCATGAAAATGTTTCTACTCTTTGTGAAAAGGTGAAATAGAAATAAACTTACTCCTGAGAAGGTAAAATTTTAAAAATTGCCTGATATGAATTTGGTTCTGTAGAGTGAGAAAGACATTATCCCTTGAGAAATTACAAGCTCAAAATAGACTTCATGCAGTTCTGCAGCTCAGATTCATACAATTTGGCCTGGGATTATTTGTAAGAGTATAATGAATGCATTGCTGTATCGGAGGAGCCCATTGAACAACAACATAAGCTATTACAAATGAAAATTACCATCAAACCAGGCCTTATTCTCAAATATAAAAGAATAGAAGCTCACAGTCAAGAATGACCAAATTCAGAGAAAGCACAGCACCATGAGTAACATAAAGCAGACCAATAATAGAATGAGACTAACCAAGGCCCACATAATGAAATTATCACTCACTCACTATAAAGTAAATAGTTTAAATACATTTAAAAAGCAAAAGACAGGAATTAAAATATGTGTAAGAAACAAGAGGGGTAAAACTAAGCAAGCTGATCCAAGAAATTATTCAAGAGATTATCCAAATATTTAAAACATAACTGAAAACATTGAAGAAAATATTTAAACAATGGAAGAAAGCTTTAATGAATTTTCAACAAATATAATTGGATTATTCAAAGGTCAGCAAAAAAGCAGGCCGTGCTGCCTATGGTCATACAGCCACTGAACTGCAGGAATGTAGGGCGCTCATCACATGCCGTGTGTGAAGTAATCTCCGAGAAGAGATGGGGAAAAATGAAAGCAAGGGTAAAAGATAAGACAGAGTGTGACAGCTCTGATGTACATCTAATCAGAAGTAAGGAAGGAAATAAGGAGAAATTATAACTTAATATTTCCCCATAAATCATACGCAAAGTCAGTAATTACAATCCAAAAAAAGGTTAAATTTCTAAAAAAGTAACCAAATACATCTTACTGAAATTATAGAACATTAAATACAAATATAAGATCTTAAAAAGCCAGAAAGTTTTATTTACAACATTTTAAAGAATGAAACAATAACTTGTGAATAGATTGTTGACTAGCATTTTCCATCTCAACAACAGGACATTAGAGGAGTATGATAGAGGAGAAAAGAATTGAAAACACATCAAAGGAATACAAGAATGAACAAAAGTGAAAAAATAGAAAAAATATGAAGACTGCCTATGTAAGATGGTGAAAATAAATCTAAATACATCAGTAGTCACATTTATGTAAGGGGATTAAACTTTCTAATCAAAAGACAAAAATCATTAGATTATATTTTAAAACACACACAAAATAAACTTATAAATCATTTTTATTCCATATGCATATAAAATGTAAAGACAGTGTTTGTAAATACAAAATAAAGTACAATGTACAAGACAATACTAATAACAGAAAAACTGGTATATTTATATTAATATAAGAAAAATATTTCTGGTAAAAACAATTAGTATAGATAAAAACCATACTCCATAATAAAAAATGTTTTAACTCTATAGGTATGTATAAAAATGCTGAAAGTTTGACCGAACAACATTTTCTGACATTTCCTATTTTCTCATTTTATATATTAACATATATGAAATACAAATATATGTATATATGTGTTATATGTGTATATGTGTTATACATATGTGTATATATGTTTGTATGTAAATATAATTGAGCAAATGGCAATGAGAAATGAACAAATCTAATATTAGAATATGTTCTTCACTTACATTTATGGGGAGATTGGACATATTTTTCATCAGATGCCTTTAATAAAATGCATCTCGTTTAAGTGGAAGATGGCAAAAAGTTATTTAATTTTTGTTTTGTGTATTGAATACTGCAAGAATAATACATCAACCAAAAACTGAGTACTATGGGGACTGAGACTTCTTCATTGAATGTATGTGGAAAGGATCATATGTGAGTTCCATGCTTTTGATAAGAGACCCCCTAAATCATCCCTACCTTGGACAATACTCATTGGTAGCACAAGAAGAAGAAACTGTAAAAATAAATAAATAAATAAATAAATAAATAAATAAATAAATCTATCAATCTAAAAGAAAAATGAATTAATAGAAATCTTAATATGTTAAACATTACTTAGGTTCTCAAATAATGTATTTTTTGTTCTTAATTTCAAAGGCTAGAACTTGTTTATACATATTGTTTTTCTATATATAAACCATATGCAGTTTACATCAAAATATTCTGAGGTTTACTTTTTCAGGTACTTTAAGAGTACCATTTAATATATTTATTTCTTGAATTTCATAACTTTCTTCAGATTTATTTTATTTTTTAAAATAAAATATTTGGTTTAAATATATTTTTTAATTTCTTTATTTTTGTTTTGAAAGGGGGTCTTGCTCTGTCTCCCGGGTTGGAGTGCAAGTGGTGCGATCTCAGCTCACCGCAACCTCCTCCTCCCTGTCTCACGTGATTCTCGCGCCTCAGCCTCCCAAGTAGCTGGACCCACAGGCACAGTCCACTATGTCTGGCTAATATTTGTATTTTTGGTAGGGACGGGGTTTTGTCATGTTGCCAAGGCTGGTCTCAAACTGCTGAGCTCGGGCAATCAGCCTGCTGAGACTTTCGAAAGTGCAGAGATTACAGGCATGAGCCCCTGCGCCTGGCCTTATTTGGTACAAATGTAATAATACCTTCAACATATATGTACATTTTAAACAACACATAATAATAGAATGACCAGTGAAACTGCCTACCAATGCAAGAACAAGGATATGATCAAACCCTTTGTATAGCTATGGGTGATCTTCTAGCAATCCCTCTACCTCATTGCTGAGGTAAATGTTAATCTGAATTTTTATAATTCCTTTTATGTCTGTGAGTTTCCATGAAAAAACTATGTATATACACACATATATATACACATATATACACACACACACACACATATATATATACACATATATATATGTACTTAAGGCATTTAGTTTTGTTTCTTTTGCTTATTTTAAGCTACAAACTGATGTACTATGTATGGTCTCCTTGAACTTAAAGTGCATTATTATGTTTCTGAGAATTACCCCATATTTGTCACTTGCAGATGTCATTTTCTTGGTGTATAAATATTCTATAGTATAACTATATGTGTTACAAATTCTTTCTGTCAGTTTTTGGCTAATATTTTCATCATTGTATGATGCTATTTAATGAATACAGATATGTAGTATTAACACAGTTACATTTATTAGCATTTCTTTTGTGATTAGTGCAATTTTTGTGTTTTGTCAAAGAAATTTGTACCTAAGGAATTATAATTATTCTTCATTACATTTGTTCTACAAAGTTTTAAGATAATTTTCTTTTCACATTTTAAGACTTTATCCTTCTCTAGCTGATTCATTTATGTCTGATTATTAGGTTCATAATTGGAATTAATTGTCCTCTTTTACCTAAATAGAGAACTATTATTTTGGAGCTCGTTTATTGAACAGTTCTCTCAGTTCATCAAGAAGTCTTCGATACCACTTTAGTTACATATCAAGTACTTACATAAGCTTGGGTTTATTTCTAGGTTTTCTATGATGTTATCTTACTTTTTTCTATTATTTTGCCAAAAGCACTCTAAAGAAAATAACTCAATAATATGTCTTCACATCAGATAGGATATGACCCTTAAATTTTTCCTCTTCAGAAGACATTTGACTACTCTGAGGAATTTCTCTTCTCAAACTGCATATAAAATTAGCTTACTATGTGTCTGTTTTTCTCTTCTTTTTGTTCTGGTGGACTTGGTTATTCATGGAGATCATTTCCCGTTTAAATTTTAGAATAATTGTGTCAAGTTCTCCAAAATGCATGTAACTCAAATTGTTTTTATGTAGCATGAATATTAAGAACATTTGGAGAAGATTGAGCTCATAATAATATGTTTTTTATTCCCCAAATGCAAAGAACTTCAAACACTTTAAATCTCCTAATTTCTAATATATATTCTATTATTGTGAATATTTTAATTATTACATCTCTAATTAAACAAATTAGATATTATCATTTTATTTTCCCTTTGCATACATATTTACCATTTTATGTAATCTGACTTCTTGCATCTTAAACCATCCTTCTGAGATAATTTTTCTTCATCCTGGCTACACTCTTCAGCTTTTTTTGGCAATCCTGCCCCTTCTACTGCTAATGACCACTTCTTCCAGGTCCAGAATATACTTATAGCTTGCTTCTTTTAGGGAGAGGGAGGCTATTCTTGACTATTTCTCATGTTTCCTTTAATCTCAGAATTGTTCAAAATATTTTTATACGTGATTTATTTTATACCAAAGGACCTCCAACTAATGAACCAAATTCTCAAGAATACTTTAAATTGTTATTTGATTTTGATGAGCTCTTCCCAAGAAAATATTTTGTCCCTAAGCAGATAGCTTATGTAAATACTAAGTTTGACAAATCAATCATGTTAGATTTCCTGGAAATATTTTTTGGACATGGGGTAGAAGAGAAAAAAATAAATCCCTGCTATAGAAAAAAAATAACAACTATACTAAGAATAAAAATTATATTTTTCTGTATATGTACCCATTATATTCAAATAAGATAAAAAAAAGATGACTCACCTAGGTCAATAACTTCATAGGAGTTAGAGGAATTGAAATAATCATTAAACATCTAGAAATTAGTCTTGGGAGTAAAGTAAGTCTGTTAATATGCTTCTCAAATTTGAGTAGTTTCACTATCAATAGAACATATGAAACCAATAGAAACCAATAGAAACCAACATATAAACCAATAGAAACATATGAAAAACAAATGTTAAAGTCTTTAAAAAATTATAATATGTGTATTCTAAACAAAAGGAAAAATAATTAGAAATCAAAATTACAATGAATGTGTTTCTTTACATGTTTATTATTATGTTTATTTATTCTTTGCTCAGATTGACTCTCTTGGAAATACCTCTAGAGGGAAAGAAGTCAAATATCAATTGGAATTGATCCTGAAATTTAAAAACTCACTAAAATGTCCTATCTTAGGAATCTGCACACTATTCCCCAGAACCTGTGAATATATGAGGTTATGTGGCAAATTTGAATTAAGGTTGCAGACCTAGCTAAGATTACTAATCAGCTGACCTTACGATAGGGAGTCATTCTTGCTTATTTGAGGGGCCCAGTATTATCACAAGTGTCTTTAAAAGTAGAAGAGGAAGGCTGAAGAGTTAAAGGAGATGTGGAACTTGAAGCAAGATCAGAGTGATGCAATTTGAGGAAAAACTTGATCCACACTTGCTGGCTTTGAAAATGGAGAAAAAGGTAATGAGACAAAGATAAAGCACCCTCTAGAAACGAAGGCAAGAAAATGTACTCTCTCCTAGAGCTTCTAGGAAGGAATACAATTTTATCCAGCACCTTGATTTTAGTTCAGCAAGACTGGTTCAGATTTCTGATCTCCACACCAGTAACACTATAAAATGGTATTGTTTTAAGCTGGCAAATGTGTTGTAATTTGTTACACTAGCAATGAACTGAATGCAGTTTCTGACAAGGAGATCACTCAACTTACTATTCTATTACTGGTATTCTAGCATCAGAAAGCAAAAATTTAGCAAGAAGGTCTAAATTATTAATCTAAATGCTTTTACCACAAAAACTTTATTAAAACACTGGTATGTATTTAATATATTGTTATGGCAATACAAATTAAGTATCATCCCTTAAAGTCTACTTAAAAATGTTAAGAAAAAGAGCATAGTATAAATTAAAATATTAAAGAATACATAGTTGTTAAACTAGAGTCAAAGATGCTTAAAGCAATGAGAGAAGACAGAGTGATAATCTCTAATTTAGAGGAGTAGGATGTATACATGAAGAAATGAGTGTAATAACCATACTCTAGGACTAGTATGTGTGGAAGAATACAGCCAGAATTAACATTTATACAATTTAGGCCTAAAGGAGAGACGGACACAGCAAAGGTACTGGCCTAATAATCCACGAATCTTTGTCACACATCTCCTCACAGTCTGCACACCTAGGTATGCTCCATCTTTTACATTCTTAATACACAAGAATATTTTGTTTATATGTATTTTTATTTTTATTGCTTTCTATCACTCTTCTCAACACTTGCTTTTCTTGGCACGGCTTTTTACCTCTAATCAAGTTAAGTAAAAAACTATCCACCTTGCTCAGCCCAACATCACAGAGCATTTCCCCTATGTTTTCTTCTATTAACTTTGCAATTTCAGGTATTAGGTTTAAGTCTTCAATTTATTTTGAGTTCATTTTTGTGTATAGCATGACATAAGGGTCTAATTTTGTTCTTCTTCACCTGGATATCCAGTTTTCCCAACACTTTGTATTGATTAGATTATCCTTTCTCTGCTGTGTGTTTTCGGTACTATTCTTGAAAATAAATGACCACAAATGCATGGGTTTATTTCTGGACTTTCTATCATGTTCCATTGGTCAGTTTGTCTGTTGTTATGCCAGCAGCATGTCATTTTGATTATTATATCTTTATGATAGCTTCGAAGCCAGGTAGTATGACTCCTTCTCCTTTGTTTTTTGCTTAAGATTGCTTAGGTTATTTGAAGATTTTTATATTGCCAAACAAGTTTAAGGATAGTGTTTTCTATTTGCATTAACAATGACATTGGAACTTGGTAGGGATTGCATTAAATCTGTAGATCAATTTTGCTGTTACAGATGTTGTAATAACGTTAATTCTTCCAATCCATTAGCAAGGATATCTTTCCATCTCTTTGTGTCATCTACAAGATTTCCTGGATATCACTCCGAAAGCACAGGCAACAAAAGTAAAAATAAACAAATGGTATTGCATCAAACTAAAAAGCTTCTATACTGCAAAGGAAACAGTTAACAGAGTATAGAGACAACTTATATATTGGGAGAATATACTTCTAAATACTTCTAAATTATACATTTGATAAGGGGCTATTATCTAAGATATATAAAAACTAAACAGCAGGAAAACAACTGAATTAAAAAGGGGCAAAATATCTAAATAGACACTTCTCAAAAGAAGACATACAAGTGGCCAACAGATATATGAAAAAATACTCATCACTAATCATCAGGGAAATGCAAATTAAAACCACAATGAGCTATCACTTCACACTTGTTAGAATGGCTATTTTTGAAAAGATAAATGATAACAAGTGTTGTCAAGGGTCTAGAAAAAGGGAACAATTGTGCACTATTGGAGGGAATGTCAATTAGTAAAGCCATTAAGGAAAACGGTATAGACATTTCTTAGAATACTAAAAATAAAATTACCATAGAATCCCACAATCTCACTTCTGTATGTACTTAGAAGTGGAATCAAAATCTATATACTGAAGAGATATTTGCAGTCCTATGTTCACGGCCTTAGCATTAGCCATTCATAATAGCTAAACTTAGAAGCATCCTAGGTGGACATCATAAGATTAATGAATATAGAAAATGTTTTATATATATATATATATATATATATATATTTTATATTATATATATATATATATAAATGCAATACTATTCCGCTTTTAAAAGGGGGAAAATCCTGTCATTTAAGACAACATGGATCAACCTAGAGGACATTACATTAAGTGAGACAAGCCAGGCGCAAAAAACTAATAATGAGTAATCTGACCTGTATGTTATTAAAAGGTTGAACTTATAGAAGTATAGAATGTGTTTGTCACAGGTTGTCAGGGTGCAGTGAATGGGAGAAAGGGGGATTTTGATTAAATAGTACAAATTTTCAGATAAACAGAAGAAATAAGGTTTAGTAATCTATGGTACAGAAAGGTGAGTATAATAAATAATAATGCACTGTATATTTCAAAATTGTGAAAAAGTAAATGTTTTTGACCACAAAAAAAGATAAGTATGTGAGGTGATGGATTTCTTAAGTAACCTGATTTAATTATTCTACATTACAAACGTATATAAAAATATCTTATTGTACCCCATAAATATATGTAGTTATTACTAATTAAAAATAAAAAAATAATTTAAAACAATTCATCTTTCAAGAGGAAGCTTAGGGGTTACTTTTCATATTTACTGCTCTCTTTCATATGGCTAGTTTTCCTTTATTTCATAAGGCTCATAATAATTTGCCTATTACTATGCCCATCTCTCCTCACCTATTGTAGGCTCCTCCATAGAATTATATATAGCTTACCAGTTTTTTTGTATTGTACCTTCAGATAGAATCAATGTATAGCTCATATTAGTCAAAGGAGAAAGTATGTTTTTTAGGTATTCCATAAATCTTAAGGTACTATTTTTAAATTTCAGAGGAAGACAATTCTTTTCCAACTTTTATTAGGTTTAAGGGGTACATGTACAGGTTTGTTATATGGGTAAATTGTGTCAGAGAAAGACATGAATTTATTAAAACTATTTTTCTGTCATTTTGATCATGAGAGTCTTTTGTCAGATATCCTTCACAAAAAAATAGAACAAGTCTCTGAAATACAGTTAGAATAATATTTCTATCATCCACTGCTGCTTCATTAAGGTAAAAGTTAAATAATCTTATTTTCAGGCTTTAAGACAAATAACCTATTGTTTACAATTATTACCTGAAAGTCCCAGATGATTCAGAAACATCCTTTAAATATTTAGTGTGAAAAAGGGGGTGATTATATTTAAAACAAATAAACTATAAAATGGTTCTTGCAGTTGAATGCTTAATATGATCTTAAGTTTATTTCTTGATGTTTCTTATGTCTGAAAATGTTGGCACGGGTGAATAAAGGATTTTTTTTTTTGAAAAAAGAACATTTCATGTAAATTAGAAAAAGAATAGACAGAAATGTCATTTGGCATATTTGTATCACATTTTAATGGGTACTGAATCTATTGGAAATGAGTTTTGAAGGGTGAAAATTATTATAATGTCTTCATTTAAATTCCCTTAAGTGCTACAGGGAAATAAGCAAAAATATGAGACAAAAAAAAAAAAAATAAAACCTGATCATTTCAAGGAAAAGCAGAAAAATGATGCTGGTTCAAAAGCATGGGCTGTCCTGGGACAGGCACATGCCAAAGACAGCAAGGAAAAAAAAAGCCAATCCCATTATGTTTAAAAATTTTTGTTTTTCTTTCTCTTCAAAGAATGACTTTAAAACAAGCCATATATTAATGAATAATATTTTGTGAGCCTTTCCACTTTTCTTGTTGTATCTCTTTTGCAGTTAACATTTTCCCTGTCATAATGTTTCCAAGGAACAAAGAAAAAGAAATTATATGCTTGGGGAAATGTTAAATATAAAAGCAACATAAATTTTCTCTCCCTAAGCAATATAAATTTCTCAAGAAAATTTAGATTTTCTATAGAACAAAGTAGTTAAAATGAGAAGAGTCTCTGCTTTCCATGTTTATCTCTTTTTTTAATTTTTAAAAATAAAGGGCAAGTTATTATGGCTATTATAAAAATTATTTAAGAAATTATGATGGATGCTCATTGTGTGCAGAAGCTGGCTTTTAGATTAAATTCAGATTCTTCATGTTGGTTAACAACAGATCTGAGGATAAACTAAAATTAAATGCATTTGAATTCTAACCACTTTCTTCATTATCAACCAAAAGATATCAAGTATACTTTCATATTAAATTGAGGATGGTAGGAAAATAAAATTTATGTGACTTTTTCTATCATGATCAATAGAAAAATTAAACAGAAATAAAGAAAGTTTGTATGGCTCCTAATATGGAACAGCAAGGATTTGACACTTTGATATATCTTAAGATTAGATGTGACTTGGGGTTGCCCTCCTTTTAGGAGAGGCTAAATATATTCTATTTGTATGACAAAGAGCTAAATGGAGCTTTGATTATCAGAAAAAGATTAAATATCTCTTCACCAATTGTTTTACCTTCTTCCTGAAAACAAAAGCCCTCATTTGTCACCCTCCTCTTCAGTTAGATATCACCATGTGGTTGAGTTGCAGCCGACAGAATGTGAGAAGAAGAGATAGTGTCACTTGCAGGCTCCTTCCATTATTTCGTGCAAAATAAATTTAGGCAGCTTGAATATTGAAATTATCAATGTCACAAGCTAGAAGAAGCCTTAATTCTGAAAACGCAGGTGGAAGAGAACTACTTCCTGATGTAAATTCTGATATGAATTGTGCTATCCCTCTGAGATATAGGTTTTTATCTTTAGCAACAACATATAATTACTACAACTAATACTATAGGGATATGCTATAAAAGATCACACAGTTTGAGTAAGTGCTTTATCATAAGGAGGTTTCCAGATAGGGATAAAAAGTTGAGTAAAATTATCGAGTTATACAATAAATATACATTTAAATTAAAGTTGATGTATATTTTGACACTACCCTGAGTAATTAAAACTTAGGATAATCATCTGTAAGTTGCTGCTAGTAATAGGTTCTTTGGGGAATGTTTTGCGGGTGATGAATTATTTGTAAGTTTACATGGATACTTAAATGCCAGTAGGGTGATAATGATAATATGCTGATTCCAAATGTAATAAGATAGAGTTAGTATTTATAAATAACTCTCAGTTTAATGTATTTATTTCTCTAATGTGTTCTACAGATCCGAAACATACTAAATTGCAAGAAGATGTTTATTGTGTGGTTATAAATTATGGACTAACAAATAAAATAACAATTATTAACAGGTTTTTTTGTACCTGCTATATATTCTTGTTTTCCTTATCTTTTAGTTTCATGCTTTTGTCTCTTGAATTATTTTCTATTTTTCCATTTCCTTCTCTTGTTCTCAAAGCAATCCATTGTAGAACCATCTCTTGACATTGTAACAGTGTGGTTTAATATCTGAAAGAATTATCAAGGGAAACTCCTCATAACTGAGGCCACAGTTTGAACAACTCACATTTTTAAAACTACATTGGAAAGCTATCACTCATGTCTGGTTATGGAACTCAGCAACTGCAAGGATGCAAGTTGCATATTTGAAAACTTGACTCAATGTATGTCTATTAAAGATTTTGAACTAAAATAAAGGTTTTTTTCTTCTATCTGTGTTATAGGGAAATAAACTGTTGGTGAGTAAAGAAATAATTAATTGAAATAAATGATTATAAATCATTTAGCTTATAAATGACAGAGTCAAATAAAATTTCAACTCGACAGGAAATGAAGACTTCACTGCTACTTATGGTATATAAAATACATTCATGCTTACTTTAAGACATTAATATTTTTTCTCCCTTAAGAGAAAGTGTGCATTGAAAACTCATAGCAAAATAGTCATTATGTTTACTTTTCACCATATTAGAAAATGAGAGACCATGTTTTAGTTTTTATGTGATAGAACTGGTTACACTATATGGAAGAAGCCATCTTTGGAAACAGGTTCTTCAGATTTGGCAAAAATGCTAGTTCAAAGATGACAGAGATTAAGGGAAGAGATTTCCGTGTAATTCAGGTTTACCCACAGCTTGGAATTTTGTTGCTTTCAGCTGGCACCTGCAAACTCAGAGATGAATCTTTCAGGGAGACTTATCAGGAAATAAATGAAAAGCATTTAATCTCTGGAAATCGTCCAGTTCAGATGGGGACAACAGCAACCTGGGGTTGTTTGGAGGAAAGGAAACTATATTGTGAAATAAGAACCCTCCTAAAGGTGTTTTATTCCTGCTTCAAATAATTTTGCCCCTTGTGGTTTTCCTAATATCCACCTCAAATGTCTTTCTGGCTTTTGTATAAAATTTTGAAAAACAAACAAAAAATGCTTTCTGCAGACTCGTGTTATTTTCAAACATTGGAAAGGCAACATGATTATTTGATAATATGCTATGACCTACCAAACTGCCTTGTGGCAATTTCTTCTGATTCTGCCATCCGCTTTCTCTGAGTAAATTTTTTGTCCACTCAGCACAGCTAAACAATTCAAAACTTTATTAAGTAATTCAATGTAGCAGTTAGTATTTTTGCATTCCTTTTATTTGGAAGTCAATGTATTGTAATTACATAAAAGTGTAACATTACTTGTCTGTACAAAATCAGAATTAATACTTCTTACTTTGAATCATCTCTCTTTCTTTCCTGATTCTCACCCCCTGAATAATGGAAATAAACCAACAATTTTTTAATTTCTGATTTGATTTATAGTACTTAATATTTTTCTTAATGTTTGTCCACAAGAAATGTTATTTTTCTCTTTATTTTTAGCTTTAAAAAAACTATGAAAACTCTGAGTAAATTCTATCTTGACTAATACAATCTTGAAATTGTATTTGCTTTTTGCTTTGATGAGACACTGTGTAGGAGAATGTGTGTGTGTGTGTGTGTGTGTGTGTGTGTGTGTGTGTGTGAAGAGGGAGAGAGAATATTGTAGTTATTGCATGGATTAGTTTGTGATTATATCCCATTACTAGGACATAATACTATAATAGTTATGCAAATGTTACTTAAACTTTACATAGCTCTCTTTCTTTATCTAAAAAACAGAGAACATAATACCACTTAACTTCCAAAAGTCATTGTCAAGATTTATAATGTTAGTACATTTGAGATCTGGGATAATCAACAAACATTAGTTATTATTATTGTATCATTTTATTGGTGCTGGTCTTAGCCTACATAGAGTAAAAAATTAGTAGACAGTCTATATTTATTTGGATTATACATTATGTGTAATATATTTAATGCACATTCCTGAGGAAATCAATTATACACAATAGAGAATAATTAATTAAAAATATGTTTAGAATTTCATTACATTTTAATGGCTATTGTATGAATTATATAGTCTTGTAAAATCTTCAGATATTCTTCTCTTTTTATTAAGTTCTTCAACTAATATTTAAAATATTAGGTCTAAGATTTTATCAATTAACGATATGGATAGTTAAATTTCTAAAAAGAAAAATTGCATAAAAAGACACAGTGAGATATTCTATGGTGGGACCATCTTTTTTGTATATTGAAACACAGGATTTTTATCAGATCTCACTGATGTGCCCTGGAATTATGAGTCTTTGGTGTATGAGTTCCTCTAATACTAATATTGCTTCACATTTGCCCAATGTTTCTGTTTTCTATTTTCCTGGGTATTCTCTTGTTTCCTATGTGACTTCTCTATTTGTTTCTGCACACTTCTCCATAAAACACCCTTGTGTATTTATAATTTATATGTTCTAATGCCAACTTTGGCAAAGAAAGTTAAAATTCTGCTAATTATTAATAGAAGATAATATTTTGCCAAAGATCAAATAGACCAATAAGGAAAACATATGAGGCTACTTTTATAATTTGTTGAATCCTCTAAGAATGTATTTTATACTTGATTTAGGACTGAGAAAAGCCAATATTTTTACAAAGTGTAAGGGTAAAAGTTCACGTCATGTGCATTCAAAATGATCAGTTGGATATGCAAAATCTGGAAGGTTGGCATAAACTCCAGGGAGCACAGTTTTTTTTTTTTTAAACAAGAAATCCTATTCACTTTTGGGGTAAGAACTCACTCAAATTAATTGCACTTAGTCTTCTAGTTTAACAATTTGAGTAAGCTTGCATTAACATTCCATTTTCACAATCTGCTGAGGCCATTACTTTTATATGTTGACAGTCTTACTTAACCTTGCATAACAGACATAAAAGGAGTGCCATCATTTTTACCGGCTATCATTTCATTAAAAATTGCATCTCTTTCTTTCATATATTTTTAAATGAGTTCACTCAAGCATCCATGGTTGTTAAAAATTCATATGAGAAATTAAAATATCTGATTGCTAAAAAGAGCACTAGTCATTCAATACCTGTGTAATCATATCTAAAATTAGTAGAATAGATTACTATAGACTAATTTGGCCAGATTAGGCTTTTTATTAAAATTTATGTCAGCTTCTAGTAAAGCCTTTATAGAATAAACAAGATAACTTTTCCCCTATATGATGTCATAATTTCTCTAATATTAGAAGATATTACTAATAAAAGAAAAATTACTCAACTAAAAACTTGTTTCAAATGTCCAAGTAATTAAAATGTGCTGTTTTGATAACAAATGGAATGAGAAGTTACACAGGAGTTTATGATATAGAGAGTGAGAGTAAGAGTTAAGCAAGTAAAATCAAAGACATAAACAACAAAAAAAGTTGGTAAAATATTTTAATTGATAATGCTGAAAACACAAGCAGAGACATGGAGAATAAGTGTGAGAAAAAAGCAGTATAGACTATTCCCAAATGACAAAACTAGTTTTACCTCTTTTTCTGTCTTTGAACAAATATTATTGAGTTGCTCAGGTATTTGTTGTTCAACTGCCTAAGAAACTATTAAATTAGACTGCTGTTTTAAAGCCCCTTTTACGTTGGGCACAGTAGCTCACGCCTGTAATCCCAGCACTTTGGGAGGTCAAGGCGAGTGAATCACTTGAGGTCAGGAGTTTGAGACTAGCCTGGCCAACATAGTGAAACCCCATCTCTATTAAAAATACAAAAATTAGCAGAGTGTGGTGGCACACGCCAATAATTCCAGCTACTCAGGAGGCTGAGGCACAAGAATCACTTGAACCTGGAAGGCAGAGGTTGCAATTAGTCTAGATCGTGTTATTGCCCTGCAGCCTGGGAGACAGTAAGACTCTGTCAAAAAAAAAAAAAAAAAAAGTCCCTTTAAGGTTGAAATTGTATGAACACTATATTTTTGTCATATTATATTATTACATAATATTTATATATTTTCTAAGATTTAAGATGTAGAATTACCTGGTCAAGCATGTATTATTTAGAAGCATATATATATATTAAACAAATATTTTTGAATGAATAGATGAATCACTATATTCATTCCCCTTAAGTTGCAGGTATTATTTTCTTCATAATAACAGTGAAGATCAATTTTGTCTCTTTTCTACCCCAGTGCCAATGTTCCTTTGCCCATCACCTGTAAATATTCATTAGCATTACCTAGATTTGCATGCGGAGCTGCTGATCAAAATAAGGGTTGTAGCACAATGTGCTCAACTCTGACATTTTCTCAGCAACGACATAGTATTAACCTCCCACACTATATAATAGTTCCACCCAATTTCCCAGAATGAGTTCTTAATTTAATTGGTCATTTGAAGTGCATCTATGTATAAAGAGAGTATTGCCTGATTTGAAAGGAGGAAACTGCTTATCAACTGAAATCTCTAATGTCAAACAGAAATGTAAGAAGAATATTGGTGGAACTAGTGAAAGTTAAGAAGAAAATGTTACCTAAAATAAAAAGTTTTTTGAAATGTATCAGTACAACCAAATGTATAGAATTTAATAATACATTCTTAGTGAAGATACTTAAAGATTGAGGACCAACATATTTAATTAAATATGTAATAGGCTAGTTATTTAGAAAAACCCCTCAGGAACAAAATTGGAAACAACTAGAATACTTATTAAGAGAGTGATTAGAACCTCTTCTAAAGAAAATAAATATCCTAAAGTGCTATAATGCAATTATATCATCCATGTTCTTAGAAGAAAGCAAATTTATACAAAAATACAAAAATCCAGATTGATTTCAACAATTAACAGCGTTAGTATTTATTTTATACAGTGTATCAAGAAATAGATGAAATTCTCTCTGGCTTTAGAACTAATTTATAGGTTGAGGTCCTTCATAGCAGAGGAAAAAGCCTTTTTTTTCCCCTCAAGACTTAGAAACTGATGTTAAACCTGGCTTTTATTATTTATAATCCTCATTAATTCTTGTATTCTGATATCACATACATATATTTTAATTTTTTATACTGAAGATTGCATCTTAATGTAAAGTGAGTTGTTTCTGAACTTATGTTTGTTAAATTATGATATTAGTAATATTAAATTACATTAAAATATATGTGCACACCTACATACACATACATATATATTTGTTTACATATGTATATATAAACAAATGGTGAGTCCATAAGTCCACTTGATTATGGATACTTGTTTATCTATAGTTTGAAATTAAACATAAAGTTCTCTTTATCTGCTTATTTCTTACTTATCCAGTACCTAAAAGTCTGCTACAAAACTCAAATACTGCATGTGTCAGAAACATAAAGTATGAATTTTAAAAATAAACTCTATCTGAAATGAAATTTTTTAAAAATGAAAATTCTGTAATCCAAAAGTCCCCATTTCCAGGAGCACAACTTTTAAATGGTATAATATAACTGTCATATTTTGAAAATCTAATATAATACTAAAACTATTTATTTCATTGCACTGTCTTTTATTAAGAAAAAATAAAGGAAAGCCTTTTACCACAAAAAATAGTTTTGCTGACAATTTTAATCATATTTTCTCTTTCATTGCAGAGTGGCTACAGCCACTCTAGAAATGTTCAGACTTTTCAAAGCTGATTACACAACCCACTTGTCTTTCTCTTCTTCTTTACACATATCTTTTGCGAATAAACGCATAGTTCCTGCTGATTTGGCAGGTTCCGATGCCTAGAACCGATATGCGATGTTGCAGAGAAAATGGAAGGGGAGCCAGGATCCCATATTTCACGTAAGATGCCATTTGTACACAGGTTGCCTAGTAATGTCACGCTGGACAGTATTGTCCCCAAAAATGTGACAAACACTATCAGAGTCTTAATTCTAGTGATATGTAGTAATTAATGTACATTTGTTACTTACTTTCTATTCATTTTATTACCAGATTAAAAAAATAGTGCCATTCAAATATTTTTAAACTTTCTAATTTAGCTCTAATTTAACCCTATTGTGAGCCTTTAATTTTGGTTCCACAAGTATTTGTCGTTCTGCTCTTGCATATTCACTTAACTTTGAAAGCTTATTCCTTTTATAAATCATTTTCCTCAATGAGTAGATAAGAATTAATTAGAAAAAATCCTAAAATTCCAATGTATAAAAATAATGTTAGGTACAGAATCTCTATTTTCAGACAATGCCCAGTCAGCATGCTTGATCTAGCATTGATTGCTTTTAACCCCTCACCCCTCTCTTTTATACATTGTTCTGTCTTATTTGCTACATTATGCACAGCAATAGTCATTGAAGATTTTAAGTTATATATCAGAATTTAAAATAATTTTTCCATATGTATACACACATAAAATCTGGTATATATACATATATGAGATATTTACCTATACCCACATATTGTTCTACTAAAGGCTGAAATAATATATTTTTATTCTTTGAACATAGAAGAAAATTATTCAAGGCCATCCTGGTATGAAGGAACATGAGATTAATTATACCAGATATTAATTATACCAGAAAAATACTGGCATAAATAAACACATTTTAATATGTGGCATGATTTTCATTTGCTTATAATTTTTGCTTGCTAGAATGAGATAGATTACAATTAGAAAATCAATAGTACATAAATCTGTTTTCACATGGCTATAAAGATTCTACCTGAGACTGGGTAATTTATAAACAAAAGAGGTTTAATTGACTCACAATTCCACGTGGCTGGGGAGGCTTCAGGAAACTTACAATCATGGCAGAAGGGAAAGAAGTCACCTTCTTCACAAGGCCTCAGGAGAGAGAGTGAGTTTATGAAGGAGGAACAGTCAAACACTTATAAAACAATCAGATCTCATGAGAACTCACTCAATATCATGAGAACAGCATTGGAGAAACCGTCCCATACCAATCACCTCCCACCAGATCTCTCCCTTGACCCATGGGAATTACGAGGATGACAATTCAAGATGAGATTTGGGTGGGGACACAGCCAATTCTTATAAACTAACAACGTACGCATTTTATACTGTGATTTTGTTTAAACCATCTCATGTTCCTGAGCCTCATTTTCTTAATCTGTAAAATAGTATTATAATGACATACTAAATATTTATTGTATTGCAGAGAGAATTAGATGAGAAAAGGGGTCTTAAAATCTTTATATTATATAGTACATTTGACACAGAAATGATACTAGTGCAAATTAAACCTTTTCATAAATAATTGTTATTATTTAGCACTTTTGTTGTTTAAAGTGTGGCCCATAAACAGCTGCATTAGCATCACCTGGCATCTTGTTAAACATGCAAAAATCTCAGGCTCTACTTCAGAAATACTGACTCAGAGTCTATATTTTAATAACATACATGAGTGATTCAAATTCATATTGAAGTTTGAGAAACGCCAATTTAAAACGGTTGAATTTCACAATGTGGAGGAAAATACTTCTATTAAATTTTAAAAATAACACATTCGTTCTTGCTCAAGGTAATAAATGTTTGTACTTTGTAATAGCTATATAGTCGTAAGAAAATATAATGCCATCATAAAAACCATACACAAATTTAGCACACTTTTAAAAAGCTGAAAATCATTATATATATAAAATTATGGTCAGTGAAATAAGCCAGATACACAAAGACAAATACTGCATGATCTCACTTATATTTGGAATCCAAAAAAGCTGAACTCATAGAAGCAGAGAATTGAACTGTGGTTAGCAGTGGCTGAGGACCACAAGGGTAATTGGGGAGATGTTGGTTAAAGGATGTGAAATTTCAGGGGAATAAATTCAAAAGATCTAGTGTACAACATGATGACTATAGTTGATAATAATGTGTTGTGAATTTGAAAATTGCTGAGAGAGATTTTAAGTGTTTTCACAACAAATAATTGATAAGTATGTAAAGTTGTTGTGGCTCAGAAAATGACACCCCATAGAAAACGACACCCCAAAGTATGGCACTTTGTCGTGCTGAACACTACGAATTAAAGAAAGTTGGAAGGCCTTAGAAGCTGCCTCAGAATCAAGGTCTCTGACCTTCCCTTTCTTCCTCCCCAGTGGAAGGGTGGGGCTCTCTCTGAATTTCCCTTATAGGAATGAAGGAAGTTCTTCCAAAAGAAACACAATTGCCTTTCATCCCCTGTCTGATACCTCATTAAAGAGGGGACATTAATTAAATATGAAGAAACTAAAGATTGTCACTATACCCAGCCAGACAAACTTTCCATCTATTATTCTGAGGGCTGTTACCTGAGAGGCTTTATCTGTGTCAGACAATCTTTGTTCTCAGCACACTTCCACCACTCACCTTCCCATAAATTGTCACCACCTCTTCCAGAGCCCAGAAAAACCTTGTGCCAGGCTCTTGTATGATCTTCAGGCCCACTCGTGTCCCCTAAAAATTACTTACTTTTTCTTTAAAATTGTCTATATTCCCTACTTCTCTCTCTCATATGAAGAGGGTGTTTAAGCTTCACTCATCTGGCCCTTCTTTGAATTTTATATTTGTATAACTCACATACACTTGCACATTAGTAAGTTTGCTGATCTGTCTGTTGTCAGTTTGCTTATAGACTCAAATTCTCAAACCTTTGGGATGTAGGAAGAAAGTTCCTTTTACCCCAATAAGGTGACACACACACACACACACACACACACACACACACACACGCAAAGAAATGAAAAACAAATCCATAAATGCACTATTTAATATAACTCAAAATTATTTTTAAATTCAACATACATTCAAAAGAAACAAAGAAAGAGAAACATATGAGTACTTTGTTACATGATTTTGCATACATGTTTTGAAAGAGAGAGAGAACCATGTCTTTAAAATACGAATCAGAATGAGTTAGCCAAAATCTAATTTGTTCTTTCTTTCTCAGTAATAGTGTAACTGAGTACCCCATTTTTGGAAGAGAAAGAGAAATAATTACTATTTTTTCTATTTTTTCTCTCCTCCTTTCCCCTGTTCTCCCACTAACTTAGATCTTTAGAGAGCAATTATAACCTTTACCTTCTTTTCACCAGACATTCCTTACAGGGCAAGCTTATCTAACCATGTGCTTACTTAGAAGCTCCAGGGCTGGGAACCTCCCCTACCAGGAGATTGCCTCAAGAAACAATAGTCAGTTAAATACCTAAAGTGTACTGGTGAGAAAACTTTCTCCTACCTGGAGAATATCTCGACAAGATGGCCACTTTACAATGTAGCTCTGCCTGCAATGGTGCCAGCTCAGCCACCTTGTAGATAAGACACCAAAGTGAGTTCTGTAGACCCTGCACCTGCTTGCTCTCTGCCCTGCATGCTGCTCATGACAAATCCCCCTTTTAAATCCCCTGCTTTTTGCCCCCAAAGTGAAGCAATGCCCTTAAAGGAAAGAGACTGTCCTTTTACCCTAAGCTAAAGTTTGGAATAAAGTCACTTTGTTCATACCAGATTTCATTCTTGTTAATTGGATTCTTCATGTGGCAAGTGACTGAATCTGTGTATCAGTTACAGTAGAACCAACAATTAGGCTATGTTCATAAAACCACCTTCATCATTCATTCTTGCAGCTGGGTGTAACAAAGTTTTACAAATGGAATGTTAGTGTAATTGGTTTGTGAAACTTTCAGAAAATCTCCTTAAAGGGAATGGTATCCTTAGTTTACCTTTTTTCTCCTATTTTTATGGGTTGGAAAGTGGAAGAGTGATTGGAGCTTCTGCAGGCATCTTAAATCATGCTAAAAGGGTCATAAACTTAAGGGAAGTAATGGAGAACACTATGAAGAGCTTGACTCCTTACACATTAGTGGATCTGGCACATCAACCCTGGATTGCTGATTGCTGGATTTTTAACAATACATAATAAAACCTTGTATCTTCAGCCACTATTAATTATGATTTTTCTGCTGTATGAAATAAAAACTAATTCTAATATTGATACAGTATTTGACACCTGAAAGTTGTATGCTGCCTCTGACAAAACTAAAAATCAATTATTGGCACAGTGTTGGGCACAGTGCCCTGAGGATTGACAAAGACAGCCTTGATGTTCACCTCAACTTGATTAAAGTTTAGATAGGTTCCTTCCTAACTATAGATCCCTGACCTTCCTTATCTTAGAGCATTTCCTTCAGAAAAGACATTTCAATTTTAAATTCTGTCTTTACCCCCTTTGAGATGTAAATCTTCTACAACCTAGGAATGTTTCTTTCAAGGATCTGGGGAGGGTGGACATTACTTTGAAATGTAATTATCAAGAAAGATAGGCTCCAATGCCCCAGTTTCTGTGGAAAAGGAGAAGCCTAACTATGATGAGTGCCAATTAGCAAACACAGATGGCCTAATCACACTGATCCACCTCTTCCAAATGTCCTTCAGTACTTTTCATTAGGTCAACTCAGAGTTTAAAAATCTTCCTGTTTTTTGTTCCAGTTGAGTTGAATGCAATCTCTACTCTACTGCAGTTGTCTTCAATAAAGTTCCCCTTGCCTGTTTAGCTAGTTGGATGCAATTTTTCTTTTATAGGATTCAAATACACTAAGTTTTATAGCTTGTGAATCTTCTTATTACAGGAGTTATTAAGAAATTATTTTAGGCAGATAGAAAAGATAAGGAATCCTCAGTAAGACTTTTTCTTTTAATAAAAACAGCTCCTGAAACATTTCTTTTCTAACAGAAAGCAGCTTGAAAAGCCGGATCACCAAGCATTGATATGCAAATGTTAGTGACCAGAAACCAGGTCCACCAAACATGGTGGTTCCCACACTCTTCTCCTTGTCACCATGTGTGCCAGGTGCATCTTTAGGTTATTAATAATGGCTTCTAGCCCTTTCCTAGACTCTGGCCTTAGGGGATACTGTTTCTGGTTAGGAAAAGAAATGGGATCCTTAAGATGAATCTGGACTGGCCTAGTGGTTATAGCTCGAACTCTTGTTCCTTGAGTCACCCACACTTCCAGAATAACGACATTAGTTTCCATCAGGGGAGATGAAGAGTTTACCCTCTGGTTATAAGGGTGCTGGCCCCCATGCGAGCTAGAATATCTCTACCTAACAAAAGAGTGGGAGTCTTGGGCATGATTAAAAAAGCATGTGTAAATGATAGGTCCCACCCAAATCTGCAGCTATGAGGTTAAGAAAAATATCTGGTTAGAGTTTTTCCTGAGACACCACTTATGGTTGTGGTATGGGAAAAGGGAAGGCCTGGATTAGAAAGGAGAAAAGAGAGACTCGCTCTAGTAGCCAGCAGGAGATCTACTTTTCTTCCTTCAATTTCCAGCGTCACCCAGGGCTCCTGTGCTGTAATAGCAGTGTGAGTCACTGGAGCCAGGGGCTTGAGCCCTGGGACCCATCAGTCCTTCTAGAGCATCTGTGAGACTGGTCCTGAACCCTGTGACTTCTGTCTCCAGGGGCAGTTCCATCTCCAGTGTTCTCTGCCACAGGCTGGACAAGGTTGAGGTGGCTTCATCTTTCTGCCTAGGCATTCCTTCTTAAAATGACCTGACTTGCCACATCGATAACAGCTAGTGGATGCACCTTAGGGATCCTGGACTTTGCAAGCTTACAACACTGCTACTAGATTCTCTGTTCTTTGATTGTATTTCCTCTCCTTTTCTTGGGCCTCCTCCTGATCCCTATCACAAAAGACCAAAGTGGTTATTCTCAGGAGGTTTTCTAGGGTGCTCTCTGGTCCTATAGCTTACTTCTGTAGTTTTCTTCTAATATCAGGAGCTGCCTGTGTAATACACTTGTTTTTCAGGATGAGCTGTTCCTCAACTGAACAAGGGGATAAAGAGGTAAGTTTTATTAGTGCCTCTCTCAGCCTTTCCATAAAGGCTGTAGGGTTTTTGTCTGGTTTTTGGTCTATCATGGACACTTTAGAATAATTGAGAGATTTGGCCCTGGTTTTTCGTAGGCCCTCTAATATGCACCTTAAAAAGTGCTTGCTTTTCCATTCATCTCCTAAGTTATTGGGATTCCAATCAGGGTTGTCTACCAGAACTGTTTCTCTTCTTAGTGGGAATGGAGTTTCCACTGCTTTTTTATATTCCCTGTCTCCTCTTTTTCTCCTTTGTCTGCTATAGGAGACATGTTGCTTATCGCCATATTTTTCTGCAGCCAGCAGAACTGCCTGCTTTTCAGCTGCAGTGAGGGTATGGGTTAGGAGCAACATAACATACTTCCATGTGAGGTCACACACAACCTGAGTTTAATTTTTGAAAATTTCTATATACCAATTGGGGTCATCAAAAAATAAGTCTAAGTCTGCATTTATTTGTTTAAGGTTCTATAATGAGAAGGGAATGTGAGCCTTTGTGGCACCATTTCCATCAGGCACTTCCTACAGAGTTAAGAGGGAATTGTGTGTGTGTTTTTTGGGGGGGAATGGTAATACTGGAGATGGTGGAGATGGAGGAACTAATGGTACAATTGGAGGGTGACTAGAAGGGTTGGGACATTCAATAGCTGCCTCAGATTCCTCCTCTGGAATCTGCTTTAGCTCTGGGGAACTATTCCCTGTGTGCTTGCCTGCCATGGCTGCTAAAAGAACTGGGTTGACTGTATAGAGCTTGTAAAGTTCTGTGTTATCTCACAGGGCACAGAAAGCCTGTACATGGAGAATCTCAAGTCCATTTGTCCTTCTGTATGCAGAAAAGATCTAACTATTGGATAATATTGAAATCAAGGCCTCCTCTACCAGTCCAGGTTTGTCTGTTCCCAAGATGGTAAGAAGGCCATGCCCTTGTGCAATAAACTATCAGGTGCTTTTTCTTTTTTTCTTCTCAGGATTGAAGGAGTCCCAGTGCTTTAAAATGCACTCCAAGAGACTGCATGCTGAAGATGATCTGTTACCCATCTAGAAAGAGAAGGGAGAGAAGGCATCCCTTTAGTCTCCTTCCCTTCTGTATGTGACCCAGGGTAGAGAAGAAAACAGTGGGGGCGTCCCCCCAACTATGTTCCCTCCCTGGTTCCTGGGTCCCAGCACCCTGTTAAATGTGCCTTCAGTGGTTGTAGGCATGACCCTCTTAGCAATGGCACCATAGGAACTAGACTTTTAGGCCAATCACACTTACCCAAATAGCCCTAGTCCTCTGCTTATGATTTCCCTTTGACTTTTTAGACTTGTGTGACCTGTGTGTCTCCCTAAAAAATGGATCTGGGAGACTATATAAAAGGCAAGGCTTCTTTAATGGACGGAATGTGCTAGATTTCCTGCTGTTATGGCCAGGGCTAAAACATTTACCATTAGAAAAATAGTTCCAGTTAACTTTCGAACTTAAAATCCCCTTACTGATTAAGTACTGTCTTAATCAGAGAAAGAGTAGGTGCCTTAAAGGGATGTGGGGACCTAATGGCAATGTTCCTGCTGATGGGACAGTATCAGGACTAAAATTTGGTTGTGGAGGACATGTTACTCTTAATAGCTGAAAGCAGAATTTTCCTATTCACGGAAGTAGCATAAAGCCTAGTTTCCAGTAGAAAAGCACAAAAATACAAAGTTTTGATGCTGCAATGTACCACAGCGGGCCAGCAAAGTTTTTTATGAAGAGGATTTCTATTTCCACTAGGTGGCCCTATAGGCTTAGAAATGACATGTGCTCACCAGCGGATTAGTAGCAAGTAACATCACTGTGGCGGAAGTGGAGATCTCTGTTCTTAGAAGATTGCAATGGCATTCCAGAGCTATATCTTCGGTTACTACAGCATTTCCTGATTTTGCCTAACAGGATTACTTCCCTAGGCTGTAAAAATTCCTGCACATTCAATGGAGAAAGAGACCATGGATAGAAAAAGAAGAAAAGTTTTTGACAGAATAACTGGGGATTCTTTACCAACACCCAGAGCAAGCTGTCAGAGACTGGGTCTGGTTTAGAAGCCTTTGGATAACACCAGGCTGTATCCTGGCCAGAAATTCTCACTTGCCTCAGAACTTTCCCCAGCCTTGCATGATGGCTAAGTTTCACTGTGAAAAGAAACTGATTTGAAAGATGGCCAACATTCCCAATGACGCGTGGGTATTCTCCATGTTCTCACCAACAAGCCTGACATCTGAGTCTTTAGAGCAGTGGCCACAATAAGCGTATTTTTAACTGGCTGACGAATGCTCATTGATTGATTTGATTTGATTTTAAAATAGAGGCTGAGATTGCCTCAGAATGGTAGAACAGATTTTTAAGTTCACTCCTATACTCACTACTCCAGTGAATGTTGTACCTTGGTTTCCCAGTCAACACACCAAAATGATATGGCTCCGATGACTGGAGAAACACCAGGGTCGTTTGTCTTGCCCCAATAAGAGTAATGGCATGGACACAGGTGGAGTTGTTTTAGAAGCAGAAAGTTTAATAGGCAAGAAAGAAGAAAAAAGCTCCCCCCCACACAAGGAGGGACCTCATTTAAGGAAGCTGTCACACAAGGGGTCTCAAAAGCACTAGAAATGGAATATCATCTCCATTGTGCCAATGGAGACCCAATCCTCAGGAAAGGTAGAGAAAACTGATGACATTATCAAGAGACACCTCAGAAAATTATCCCAAGTAACTCACCTTCCTTGGGTTTCTATTCTTTCCATGGCCTTGCTATGAATAAGAAATATCCCTTCAAAACTAGGTCTTAGCCCTATTGAGATGCTATATGGATGACCTTTACCTACCAATCATTTTCTATTACATCAGGAAACCTCTGAGCTAGCTAAGCATGTAACGCCTCTCTGGCTCATTTTCAACAGGAATTAGCACAATTAGCAAAAGCCCAACCCCAGGAAATAAGACCACCTCTATTTAACCCAGGAGATTTGATACTGGTAAAAAGCTCTCCCTTCTCTCTCTTGCTCCCTAAGCTCAAGCTTGAAAGGGTCTTACACTGTTCTTCTTTTAACCCCTTTGGAAATAAAAGTTACAGGAATTGACTCCTGTATACATCCCACTTGAGTCAAAGCCTGGAGAGCTGAGGGAGCAACCCCTTATAGCCCAGAGGAATATACTCAATATTAATGTGAAGAAATAGAAGATCTTGAGCTGAAAATAATAAAGATAAGTATCTGAGTGAGACCTACTACCTCACAAAATACTTTTTGTCATTTCTACCTCTCCTTTCAAGATTTGTTGTCAATTAAATAATTGAAACTCCATTTGTCAGGTGGACCCTTCTCACTTGGCATGTCAAATTCCAAATGGCACCATAAATGATTATCCTAAATACAGGTACCTTTATCTCAAGGATGCCCCTATTATACATAAAAAAGGGAAACTTCTAAGATACGAGAAAAATCTGCCAGTTTTTCTCACAAGCCAAACTTAGAACTGTTCCTTCAAGGAACAGAGGTGTATTTTCTTTGTGGCTCCTGGCTACACTTAGTCTTTCCAAGGCACTGGAAGGGAACATGTACTAGAGTAGCAGTAGTTCCTGACATTATTTTTAAATTCTACTGAGATGTCAGCATCATCTGGAGACATCCCTAACTTAGGCTCTTTTCTAGAAACTGCACTATCTCAGATACACTGGACAAAGAGATCTTTCATTTCTATGCCCTCACATGAAGATTAACTGAAAGGGCAGACTGGGCAGAGCATGCACATAACAATCCCATCTTAGAAAAACCATGCATGGAAAATTCTATAGCCAGAGGTCTATTTGGTTTGCGGGCATCCCTCTCCTTGAAAGATCAGTACTTAATATTTCCACTACGATGCAACAAAGATGGAAGGCAACTGTAGGTGCCATAGAGGCACAACAGCAATCTATTGATTCTTTAGCCTCAGTAGTAGCACAAAATGGATGGACCTTAGATGTCCATATAGCTGAAGTAGGAGGTACCTGTGGACTTTTTTTTTTTAATTTTTTGTATTTTTGGTAGAGACGGGGTTTCACCATGTTAGCCAGGATAGTCTTGATCTCCTAACCTCGTGATCTGCCTGCCTCGGCCTCCCAAAGTCCTGGGATTACAGGCATGAGCCACTGCACCCGGCCTACCTGTGCACTTTTAAATCCAACATGCTTCTTCTGGATTAACACCTCTAGTCTAGTAGAGGAAAACCTACAGATACTTAAAGATCAAATCAAAATCATTGACAGGTTAAGAGAAAATGCAGGCTTCAGCTTTCGGTGCCTGCAATCCCTCTTTAATGAATTCCAGTGTTCCTTATGGAATTGGTTAGCTCTTTATTAAGCCCCCTCTTGCTTGTGTCTTGTATTAATATTTGGGCCTTGTATACTCAATAGCATAACTCGAATTGTTTCCTCTTGCCTAGAAGCAATCAAACTCCAAATGGTGCTGAAAATCGAAACATGCATGGATGTGCCATTCTTCCAAGAACCCTTAGATTGACCCCAGGAGGAACCCTAGGTGCTGTTCACCTCCTGACGCCCCTTTTTAGCAGGAAGTAGCCAGAAAGAGCCGATGCGAGCCGTTGCCCGAAACCTCCTAATAGCAGTTAGGGTGATATATTTTCCGGGAGGAATATTACAGGAGTTATTAAGAAATTATTTTAGGCAGATAGAAAGAGTAAGAAGTCTTTGGTAAGGCTTTTTCTTTTAATAAAACAGTTCCCCAAACATTTCTTTTCTAACAGAAAGCAGCTTGGAAAGCCAGACTGGCAAGCATTGATATGTAAATGCCAGCGAGTAGAAAAAAGGTCCAGTCAACATGGTGGTTCCCACCCTCTTATACTTATCACCACATGTGCCAGGTGTCATGGCCACCTCCAGGTAACACCACGTGTGCAGGACATCATGGTGACCTGCATTTGCATATTAAAAGGCTAGGGTTGGAGGGCCAATTTATTTCATGGGCTACGTGAATGACACACCTGGTCAAACCAATCCCCTGGGCCTTATGCAAATCAGACACCATCTCCTCCAGCCTCCCAATATGATTGACTGTTTTCCACTACACACAGGATTCCTCTGTTTTCAGAACCCCGCCTTCCCTCTGTACGGGGAAGCTTTTTTCTTCTTTCTTGCTTATTAAACTTTCTGCTCCTAAGACCACTCCATGTATGTCCTTGTCCTTAATCTTATCAGCGCGAGACAAAGGACCCTGTGTGTTTCTCTGGTCATCCAAGCCGTATCACTGTTATGCCATGGAAAACACTGGTTATGCTTTCACTGGTGCTGCCTTTCAATGTTAGAAATTGTTAAAGCTTTATGGGAAATGGTAGGAAAAATTCTTAAAGTTTTTTGGTTTTAGTAGCTTTAAGCATAATTCTAAAAAAAGAAAACATCTCAGGCTAGACTTGCCCATTGAAAGCAGATATGGAAAAGAATATAGCTTTGCAAACAAAGCCTTTGTCTAGAGCCTGCAATCAAGCTAAAAGTTCAAAATTTGTAGACTGACAGAATTGAAAATTCAACTCCTCTACCTCAAAGTGAAGCAGTTGCAAACAATGGTGCTGAAGTGGCAGCCTTAGAAGGAGATTAAACTGATGCCCTAATCAAAGGCTGTGAGCAACCCAGCAGAGAGTATTATGTGGAGTGCCTTCTCATGCAACCCTCAATGTAGTAGCCATTAAGTTGAAATATAGGAAGGTGAATTTTATTACAGAGGCCTGCAATGAAAGACTAAGACTCCATATCTGGATGAGATCTTTGGAAATGCTACTTGCATAATAAGCTAACTAGAAGAAAGTAGAATGAACATCTAAAATGTTTTATAGGGAATTTTTATGTTTTGTTTTATTTTATTTTATTTTATTTTGCCTGGTGGCTACAAACTAGACCTGCAAATATCAAACTCTAAGACAATTCCTAGATTTCCAGACCAGCCTTCAGTAGTAAATGAGCAATGTAAATTGGTTAGCCCAGAAGACCATACTCTCTAAAGCTACTTCAGATTTGAGGAGGAAAGAAAGTAAATCACTTCTCAAGGGCTTGGACTGGAAGCCATGGAGGACAACAGACAAGGGAATTCTTTAGGGAGATCTCAGGCAGGTTTTTCAAAAGTGCTAACAAGAGGATGTCTTTCCCTAACACAAATGGAATCTTCGCAATTCCTGAAGATAGTGTTGGCCTATGGCTATAGATGACTAATAGCTGTGTTTTAAAACCATTTCCCTTTCTAAAAAAGATTTTCTTGTGATAATTTTTTCTTATTTCATCATTCAAATTAGTCATGTTGGGAGAATGCACAATATCCAGACTCAGATTTCCAACTCTGAAATGAATTTTGTAATCAAATTGGATTTGATGATTGTCTCACTCAGAGAAGTGGTGAGTATATTATTCTAAAGGAAATAAATGTAAACATGGGTATTTGAATAACTAAAGAGGTCAACAGTGGCAGAATCTGCTAGATTTCTCTTCATATCCACTTGTTCCTTTTTACTTACCAATAAAACCGCTTGAATTTGAACCAGGTACATGGCTATTCAGAAGACTATTTTGTCAATAGTTTTGAAAAAAGTCACCCTTTCCTGTTTAACTGGTTCTGTAAAATTTTTGTGTTACAAGATTCAGATGTTGTATGTTTGATAGTGGGTGAATCTTGTCATGCCATGGGAAGCATTGGTTAAACTAAACTAAAAACTTAAAACTCAAAATTGATATTGATATGATATGGACTGGCAGGCTAAGATAAGATTTGGGGAGGTCCTCTCTAAAACATTGAGAATGGTCATCTCTAGATAGTTGGAATTTGTTTATATGTGCTTTAAAAACTTACATTATAATCATTTTATAAGCATTTCTTATCTTTGTTAATAAGCAATTAAACATACTGTTTTGGAGCCAGTATGCTTATTTTATCTGGCAATATGATGATATAATGAATAAACATAAATATCTTATTCAAATGCTAATTTAGTGAGGAGGCTTTCTTAGCTTGGTAGATTAACCTTTTCACTCTTGTATTACAGTAGAAAAGTTCATTATATAACCAATCTATAGAACTTTGTATTAGATAAAGCTTTTCCTTTTTCCCCTTAATATAAGGGAGAGCTATCTCTTAAAATTATTGGGATGACTCAGTCATCTAGGCTTAATAAATTATGTTACATAACTTAAAATAAAAATTTTAAGTTGACAGATAAAGTGGATTTTCTCTGCTTGCATAATAACATTCATGCCAACTGATAATTTTGGAGGTGCTGATTGCTTTAGCAAAGTAAAACATCTTTAATTATATCATATAACATAAACTTAGATACAGCAAGAACTTTGAAGAGTCATACTATGGACAACAGACTAATTACAACAAAATCGTTGAAAATATCTTGCAAAATATGTATTAACATCATCATCAGTGTCAGAAATATTCATTAGGAAATACTAGTTTTCTTGAATATTACACAAGATTTGAAAAATGCTAGTCTTGCAAAAAAAGTTCTTTTAGAATTTGGAAATTTCCAACAGTACTTTTGACTGAATTACTAAATTACCAAAAGTGTTGAAGTAATATCTAACCTTAATATATTTTGAATAGCACATTTATTTATTTATTCTCCCTATTATATTCAACATAAAGAAGTGACTAGAACAAGCGAATACATTTTTCCACAATTGGCAGCCTTTTTTTCACCTTGAAATCCTTATCCATGTTTACCAAAGATGACCAATGAAGCTACACTAACATTTTGCATCTCTCACTTCAATTCCTTACATTCCAGAAAATGCTACAAAAAGTAAATTAACCAAAGGAAAGGTTTAATAGTAATTTGTGTGTGCATCTGTTCTATTAGGGACTGGAATATATTTCTGTATTTAAGATTGCTTTTCTTTTCTAATTTGAAGTATGTGACTTGAAAGTGTTTTTATTTTGATGGTTATCTGTCCTCAAAGCTGAAATGTTTTGTCTAGGTTTTCTGGAAATGGAATATTATTATATTTAAACTCAGTGTTGGGCCACCACCTGATTAAAATAAATGAACATGTTACATTGGGTAGCTAGTTAGGTATGAGCTGGGCAGGAGAGGTTTCCCCCACCCCAAACAGACACACACTAGGAGTGTTGGTGACCATCAGGTGATGGTCAGGTGATTGTTAACAGTTTATCTAAATATTATCCAATTATTTAATAATGGGTCACAGCCAGTGCCAGGGAAAGGCAGGCTCCTAATAGAAAACACCTGAAACCAATCAGCAGCTTCCAAATAAGATTTCAGGAGTGAGGAGAAGTAATGGAAGATCTTGGAAGTATGCCAACATGTAAAACCCCAAGTCAAGAGGTCAAGCTGCCCAATTGGTTTCTCAAGTCACCCACTTGGCCCTCATCTAAGTTGTACTTTCCTTTTCTTTCCTTTCCTTACTGTTCTAAAGCTTTCTAATACATTTTCACTCCTACTCAAATTTGCCTCCATCTCTCCTTCTGCCTTATGCCCCGCAGTCATATTCTTTCTTCCAAGGAGGCAAAAGTTGAGGTTGCTACAGATCTCTGTGGATTTGCCACAGGTAATTCGGATACATGCCACTGGTAACAAACTAATGGAAGTATTTTACCCTATCTAGAAGTTTTACTTTGTAAATTGTGAAATCTGAAAATCAAGTAATTATAAAAAATGCATTTTATGTAAATGTGTATTTTAAGTAAACAAATTTCAAAACATTTAGAATATTTGAGCATATATTAAGTTAGTATTCAAGAGAAATGCTATCAAATGACTATTTAGTACTTTACTCTTTATTGGTCAACCTTGTCTGATGGAGGAAACATTGATTAGACTAAACCTTTTACATAGATAGATAAATAAGTGCTTTGGTAGGTTTTTTTTTTTTATCAACTGCTTAAGAGTTAAAACCCTCAAATTATAGCTGGTATTTGAAAACCTGTTGGATATCTGTAGATTAATGAATGCTGCATTAACAAAAAATTCAAAATAGCCTGTAAACCTGAAGATAGGCTTTTTTTTGCAAAAATTATGTGAAAATTTGAATGATCTGCCTAAAAATGAGAAAAGTATCACAGAAAATATCTTTTAAAACCTGACTCTTTAAAAAACTTAATATATTTGATTACATCATAATTTCTAATAGTTTTTTTCGTCTTGATAATAATACACCAGAAGTTATTTCTCATATTTTCACTTTCTGGCCTTTTGACAAGTAACATGGTTAGTTTTTTTCCTTCCAATTGGAGCCTAAAAGTGATGCTCATTCTGTAGCATCATTATGCTGTCTTAGTGATGCTATGGAATGAGTGGGAATGAGGAACTAATTCTCAAAGTAGTGTTTCTTCTTACAACATTCAAGGAATATCCTTACAGAAGGTAAGTTGGAGTAAGTATGTTTGTGAGATAGCCCCTGCTTCATCAGTTTTCGATTTTAATTTCTCCAATAACTACTTTTCAAGGACTATTATATTTAATTGTCTGTCTTCTTCCAGTCGTACTTTTTCTCAGTCTCTTGCAGTTTGCCCTTTCAGTGATGAGACTAGTCAAATCTTTAGCAAGCCTGAGTCAATGGATTATGAAAGCTCTAAAGAACAAAATGAAGCTGATGTGGATCTGTTACTTTTATTTCTCATGGATAAAAATCCTGTATAGTTTTTGATTATCCTAATTGTCAGTTTGAAACCTGAAATTTATGTGTGCAAATGAGAATGTTTTTATGCTAATGATTTTGGATTCTAGGTATTTTTCCAGAGTGCTTAGAAGGCAGAAACAAAACTTTGTATAGGATCTAATAAAAAACATTTAAATAAATACTTAACATCACATATATCACAGAATATTACTTTAAATACAATAATAAGTTAAAAGGATACATTTTGCCTGAGTATGATGTAACAAAATAGAACTAAAATCATCTTCATTCACTTAGTAACTACTTATTGAGCACTTATCCTGTAATTGTGATGGAGTTGAACATTGGTCCTGCTATCCTGATTGTACTATATGGCGTCAACATTGTTGTGTATTATCAGTGCAAACAAAAATTCCTAATTAGGTATAATTACTTGATACAAAATATGGCCAAGTGATCATGCTGTTTCTCATAATTGTGATATGAGAATATTTAACAGGAAGTTCTTATAATATTAACTAATTGGGAAATACCTCTCTAGTGATGTTTAAAAATAAGATCTTAAAATTAAGAATTTTACCTGTATTTCTTATTTTAATTCAAGCATCCTATTTTATGCATTAATTGCATAAAAAGTGAATTAAAATTACACACAACCATTTTATCTGAATATTCTTTTCTTGAATTGATTTTTTTAAATATTAAAATAAACTGTATTATTGAGATACCAAAGGTAATGAATGAACTCTAGAACTTCAATTACATATTACACACACATCTACTTTCTTTCCCATGTTTAATTAGGTATGAAAAGAGCCAAATTACTTTTAAGGCTGAAAATTATACTAGTGTTTAATTTAGTCATTTAAATTCTCTATAGCCATGTGTTGGATAGATTTTCATTTCTGTCTAGCAGTCTCTGTTGGCTATCTGTATTTTCCCAAATATTTTTAATGCACGAAACACAGCATTATATATACACATAAGTAGAATGTGCTATTTTAATAAAAATAAAATCATATATTTTATTTTTAAATTTAAGAAATCATTTGGAATATATTTAATAGACATAACATGTAATTTTGCTGATAAACTATAATTTATTTAAATTTTCTCATTAACTTTCTTCTTTTTTTTAACCTTTCTAAATGATTCTAGGCCATGTGCAGTGGTTCATGCTTGTAATCCCAGCACTTTGAAGGCTGAGGTGGGAGGATCACTGGAGATCAGGAATTTGGCCAACATGTTGAAACAGGGTCTCTAGTGAAACTACAAAAATTACCTGAGAATGGTGGTGCAGACCTTTAATCCCAGCTACTCAGTGGCTGAAACACCTATACATTTGAAAATAGCATTTTATAAGTGTAATGTGAGGGTTACATATTCAGTGTTTTCCATGAAGGAAACTGATAGTTATTGATGGCTGTGATGGTGGACCATTTGAAGTGGCCACTGCGAGGATGCCAGCTGCATCAGGGGAGGCTCAGCTGGGGCTGTGTAATCTGGAGTTGGCAGGGGGCAGGAACAGGTGATCCCAGCAAGAGCCCCACACCCTACTGTGTTAGAGGGGTGGGAGTCTGTACTCCCTGGCCCAGCTACAGCTGCCCAGCTGCAGCTCCGGACCTGGGCATCCCTGTGCTCTTGGGGGTACAGTAAACCCCCTGACACTGCAGGCTTAGAAGTGCCTGCTCCAGGTCGGGTGCAATGGCTCAAGCCTGTAATCCCAGCACTTTGGGAGGCCAAGGTGGGCGGATTAGGTCAGGAGTTCAAGACCAGCCTGGCCAATATAGTGAAACCACCTTTCTACTAAAAATACAAAAATTAGCCAGGCATAGTGGTGCATGCCTGTAGTTCCAGTTACTTGGGAGGCTGAGGCAGAAGAATCACTTGGACCCAGGAGGTGGAGCTTGCAGTGAGCACAGATTGCGGTGCTGCACCCCAGCCTGGGTGACAGAGTGAGACTCTGTCTCAAAAAAAAAAAAGTGTCTGTACCCACTCTCTGGCCTCTCTGCACTCCTGGCACCCACTCTTCAGTGGAGCAAAGTTGTGGATGTGTCCTGATAGCTGAGCCTGAGTGCTGTTGTGACCTGGCTGGGTGTGCATGCAGTCACAGTCATGCTAAAACAACAATCTTGCACTGCCTTGCCACCCTTGCTGGAAACTGATGCTGAGACTAAAATATTTTGCGCAGATGAGCATGGGAGGGAGGCTGGGAGGCTGAGGGCAGCTCAGCATGGGCCTGCAGGTGCCATTCAGTGTGGATAGTCTGTGCGCTGTGGTTGGTATGTTGATGGTGGTGGGAGGCAGACCGGTTTCTAGGTGGGAAGGAGTAAGTCCACAGTGAAACCTCCCCTTCAAGCCATTGACGGCCTGAAGCCTGGGGGCTGGGCTGCAAGTTCCATGTGAAGTCTGTGACTTGGAGTGAGAACTTCCATGATGCCTTTTGGCTAATCAACTGGTGCTTTTTTCAGGACTGCCCATGATCAACCATGGACCAATCAGCATGCATTTCCTCCATTCTGAGCCTATAAAACTCCCAGACTCAGCCAGACTCAGACACTCCTCAATACTACCTCCCTGCTGATAGGCACTACCCACTTTGAGTCTCCTCCCTGCTGAGAGTTGTTCAGTCACCCAGTAAAGGTCTTCTTCACTTTGCTCACACTTTAGTTGTACATGTCACTTCATTCTTCCTGGATGTGGGACAAGAACTCAGGACCTGCCAAATGGCAGGAGCTAAACACACTGTAACACTTCACTGGCCAGATGATTGTGCTGAAAGCAGGAGCTGAAAGGGCTGTAACACTATAGCCCTGCCACCCTCTGCTGGCACTGGCCAGCCACCTCATGTGACAGAAAGCAGCGGCAGGGCCAGGCCACAGGAGAAATGGACCGGAGTGGGGAAGCAGGACTGAAAGAGCTATAACACAAATGGGCAGAACACATGTTCCCCACCCTCACCCCTGCCACCAAAACATGCACCTTTGCTAGCTGTGATGTGAGCAATGAGAAGGAGAGAAGAGCTGTAGACCTTCTGGGAGCCCAGACCTCAGGGCTCCTCAAGCCAGGGATGTGACATTCTATAACACCCTCTTTAAGGCTCTGAAATTACTGGTGTCTCAGAGTTTTGTGGTGCAACCACGTTCCCCTGGTCCAGACACTGGTACCTGTAGTGGAATCCACTTGTGGTGTTTCTGGTCCAGCCACAGCCTCACATGCAGCTGGTGCCTAGAGCTGTCTGCCCTACTGCAACAGCTGGTGTGCCTGGGTCTGCGCAGTGGTCAAACCCCACGCTTGCTGGGTCACATACCTTTTGCCACTCTGCACCTGGCTCACCCCTGGCAGGCATGGGATCCAGGCTGGTAGTGAGAGCCTGTCATACTGAGTGGGTGAAATGATTCCATTGGGTGTGAGCAAAACTCAAGCAGAGGTGTCACCAGCCACAGAGGTTTCTGGCTAGTGAAGCAACACCCTAAGTATCCTGAGACATTATTACTTCTAAGGAAATAAATAGGGAAGTCCCTGTGGAGTTAATCCTTTAAGAGAGGTTGGATTTTTAACAGATATATAGACCTGCATTTTAAGCCCAGAGAGAGAAATGGGCAAAGATGAGAGCAATACTTATACACCCTTGTATGCTTAGTATCTATGAAGTGGATTGGGGGATATTGAAGGGATATAGTAACATAAACAGAAACCCAGAAATCACCATATTATATAAAATGCATTATAAGTAGTATTAGGAAATTAAAGATTATATAATTTAAAGTGCTGTTTTGAATAACACTGCAGAAGTTGAAATGGTTGACTTAAGTCAGTATGATTTTAAGAGATAAGCTGGAGAAAGAAACATTTCCTACCACAGGCAATAAAAAGAGAAGGACACAAACATCAGCATGAACATTGTCCACAGAGGACTTTTTCCAAGGACTTTTCATTGCAAATTGTAGAAACTGTTATTTGTAACTGACCATTTTCTTTCTACATACATTCTTTCTCACATTTTTGCTAATTTTTTATGTGCATCAGTCCTTTCCAGAGTCTATAAAACCTTCAAAGTTAGAATCATGCAGATTACTTTTTTCTAGATCCCCTATTGTTATCACAGTGCAGAGAATTCATTAGCTGAGTTTCAGCCTTCTGATGTGAAATTAGAATGACTTTCCTTATGGGCCCTTTAAATTCCAAAAAATAACACTAACAATGGTAGTATTAAGTGCTCGATAAACTTGATGTTTGTTGATTGGTTTCATAGCACATGTGCCATATCTTCACATTAAGAAGTACACTTTTATAATCCAAAATATCTTCCCATTGGTATTTTATAAATGCAACTGCAACAGTGAAAATGACAGATAGATATAAATATTTTGGGCATTTCTATTAAAGTTTCACCCTTTTAAAACTGTGTTGCATTTCAGACTGTAAAACTTGCTTTTCATGTGTTGTAATTCATAGTTTTTTAGTCCTCTTCCATCATATGATGTTATAGGTAGATGTTTAAAGTTGATGTTATTTCTACATTTATAACAAAGCTATGCATTACGTATTTAATAGAAAACATATTAAAAAGCAAAAAACAATGGCAGCTCTTCCAAAAGATTATATTTCTACAAATCTGTTAAATTGCTACTATTTCTCTCTAAATGCTACGTAAGACATGGATTCCATAGAGTGATAGTGCACATTGATCTTCAAACTGGACCTTTTAGGTTCAATATTCATAGATTTTGTTTGCTGTTCATGTTAGGTAATACTATAAGCATCCTTTTAATCTTCATTTGGGTTACTAAGAAAAATGTCCACTTGTATACCAAGTAACAAAGTTACAATTAATGTAGTTAAGAAATACTTTAGTAACGCCTAAATGATTATCTTTAATCTTGCATTTCACTTCCTGAGAGTTATTTGGAGCTAATTTTGGCAAGCTGTGTAGCATGGTGTTAACAGTGGATGATTTAGATTCAGATTAGGAAGTATCAAAGTACGAATCTAATACTTCAACTGTAAACTTTCTCTTTGTCTTTCAGATTTCTCCACCAAAAATATAGGAAAATTGATAATAGTTATGTTGGCAATATGCTTAGAGTTATTTTATAATACAGCAAGTACTTAATATTACCAGCTATTATTGTATTCATTTGGATTTTAAAATTTGAAATAAGCTGCAATACATAATCAAATAACTGTCTGACATCCATGATTAAAAATAATAAAGTTCTAAAAGCACATTCTTTTAAAAGAATATTTAATGAGATAACTGATAAATTGTTTCAAAACATATAGAAAGTAGTTTTATCACACTAGGATTTACATGTATTTATCTTTTTTTTTTTGGTAAATTTTACTTGCCCTTATATATACAGATTTTTTTTGGAAAGAATAAGTTACAAAATTTCAGTTAGAGAAGAGACAAAAGTTGAAGAGATCTGTTCAACAACATGGTGACTATAGTTAATAATGTATTGCATTCTTGAAAAACCCTAAGAATGTACACAAAGTATTCTTACCACAAAATAAAAACTCTGTGAGGCAATGTCTATGTTAGCCAGATTTAGTCAGTCTACAATGCATATACAGTATACTTCAAAACATGCCCTTGTACACAGTAAATACATACACTTTTTCTTTCAATGTAAAATATAAAATTTAAAAAAACCAAAATATTATTTTCTCTTTTTTTTGTTTTAATTGAGATGAGTTAAATGTGGTTGCTGCTTTACTTAAGGGCTATTTAAGAAAAATCAAAATAACTATAAAAGCAAAAATACTCTTAAACCAGTATCCTAATTCAACATGGTCAGTATGGATTTTTTTTCTGGTGTTGTTTTTATTTTATAACTAGCAGTAATTATAATCAAGAAGCTTAGACATTTTTATAAATGCTGACAGAAGTGCTCACTTAAAAAACGCATGGCATCTGAGGATTTTTGAATGCATGTGTACACCCAAAAGGTACTTAGGGCTGAAATAGATGACACTCAACTACTTCCTGTTAGATGTAAGAAAATGTGTTAATTGCATTTAATATAGTTTATTATACTCTAGTCAACACAGGCCATCTGTCCACAACAGCTGCCTCATGGTGGTTTCAGCAAAGCATGTGCGTGTATATATTTTAAGTGAAAGCACAATTGAAAAGAGCAAAACAGCCTACATTGAGTTTGTGTTACATGACTATGCAGCAAATAAATATAAAAATATTATACCAGCATGAATACACTCCAATCAAATTTTCTCCTGGTGCAAGAAGTGACTTTGTTTAAAAGTAAATATCAATAAATCACTTCACTAAGAAATAACCATTAGATTTCGAATTGTATAAGAATAAAAAAGTAAAAAAGATGACTAAAGTACTTTGCTTAATATATAAGCATAAATGGGGGTTTGAGAAGACTGGAGAGAAGTAGCAAAAGAGATGCCAGGAGCAGATGAGATGATAAGTCAGGGATCTGGAACCTGTGGTGGTGAAATGTGTAAAAGGTACTTTTAAAAACAAAAATGTTAAATATTCAATATGCTATTAGCAATTCTGTGACTTATTCTGCTCATAAAAGGCTTAGTAAAGTCTACTAGACAAAACAAAATTGTTGCAAATACTATGTTTTTGCTAGATAAAGATCAAAGGCAATGCTGTTTTGATGACTGGGTTCAGGTAAGAATCAAAAGGCAAAACACAGTGAGTTGAATTTCAACTTTTTAAACAGAACAGACTTGGGAAACACAATAACTCCTAGAAATATAGGGATAATCATGCAAATATGTTACCTCCTCAAAAATTCAGATACCTTGAGATGAGGATGCCACTTTTCCCAAGCAGATAAACCTTAACTAGTTTTAATTGAATTTAATTCAATGTATTTTATTTTAGTCAGCATAAGCGTAAGCTTATTTTAGGAGAAAAGGTGACCACAGTAGGTAACTGAGCTGTTAATTTTCTGAGGAAAGACACTAAAAGGTAAAGATCATTCATTTCAATAAATATTTATTGAGTGCTTCTTGTGCCAAATGATTGTTAAATCACTGTGTATCTCACAGTGAACAAAGACAGAAATTCTTACCTCTATGAAGATTATATGCTATTGGTGCATAGAGACAGAAAAGAAAAACAATAAATGAGTTCAATTATACGGTATATTACACAATGATAAGTACTATGAGGTAAATAAAGCTGGCAAGGTAGAATTAGGGACAGGATGCAATTTTAATTTGAGCAAAGACCTTAAGAAAAGGAAGGCACAAATCAGGTGGAGATATAGGTAAATAGAGTTGCAGACACACGAACATGAAAGGTCTCTGAGTTTTAATTTGACATTTAAGAAATAGCAAGGGAGTCTGGGACCACAAATTATAAAGATGTCTTCATGTTAATTTCCTATTGGCAAAATATAACCAACTCTGTAAGTGTTAGTCAACTAATAAAGTAGACTCATTTCATAAACAGAAATACTAAAGGATTTTAAGTTGTTTGCCCAAACAATTTACAACTCCTAGCTTGTTCAAATTTATATACTATTTTAGAATATTATTTGAATACTACTCTTTTATCCCTACTATGTAAGTAATTAGGTATAGTTTTTTTTTATTCTTGTCTCATTTGATTTTGTGACTACACAGGAGGATGAGCCAAACTATGTGAAATATTTTTAAACTCTTTATTCCTCATTAATCTGAATAGAATTGACAGAGTGTTAGAAATACCAGAGAAAGGAAACAGAAAAACCTTATAAAATATTTATGCATTCATTTATTCAATACATTTATTGAACAACTGTCATATGCTGGCAGCAGGCTAAGCACTGGAACTATGGTACTGTAAAAAACAGACATGATTTTGTCCTTAAGAAGGTAACATTATAGTGAGTCATTCATGCATTAAACAAAGGATAATAAAATAATTTGAAAGACTGTTTTACAGCAACATGCAGTTGCAAGGAATCCTCTTGTCTTGGAAATCAGAGAAGTCCTAGAAACATACAAGGGCATTACAACTGTCTTATGAAATAGAAAATATTAATTTGGTCAGAGAGAGAGTGATTAAATATATGAAATAATGCTGATTATGCCACTATTTCAAGTTCTGAAAGTTGTCCACAAGACTGAGCAAAGTGGGTATCACCTGTAACTCTGATAAGGACAGTTTTGGTATAGTCTTGAAAATGAAAGCTTGATTGAAGTATGTTCATAAGAAATGCTCATCACAGGGCTATTCACAATAGCAAAAACATAGAATCAACCCAGGTGCCCATCAATGGTGTATTGGATAAAGAAAATGTGGTATACGTGCAACATGGAATACTACATGTGCATAAAAGATAATGAAATGGTGTCCTTTGCAGAAACGTGGATAAAGCTGGAAGCTTATCCCTGGAAGCTTATCTTATGCCCTAACACAGAAAAGAAAAACCAAATGCTGCATATTGTCACTTATAAGTGAGAGCTAAACATTTAGTACACATAGACATAGAGGTGGGAACAACAGACACTGGGGACTACTAGATAGGGAAGATAGGGAGTGGGAAGGGGCATGAACTGAAGAACTACCTATTGGGTATTATGGTACTGTGCTCACTACCTGGGTGACAGATTCAGACATACCCCAAAACCTCAGCATCATAAACTATATCTTTGTAACAACCCACACATGTACCCCCTGATTCTAAATAAAAGTTGGAGAAGAAAAAAAATGGAAAGGAAATGAAAACTGAGAATATAGACAACCCCTTTAAGGAGTTTTGTGATAAATGGTGCTGAAAAATTAGGCAGAAGGTGAAATTGGCAAAAATCATTTTTCAACATTAGATTTATATCGCATTTTTCTTAGTTTATGAGAAAATTAAAGACAATTGATAATAGGTCTTAGAGAGGCATCAATGACACAGTGTATTTTATGATGTAAATAAAATGGAAAATAATTTAATGCAGAAGTAGAAAAGTTAGCATTAGGTTACACCAAGATCTGCTCATCCAGAAAGCAAAATACATGACTTCTGATGTAGGTAGCTTCATGTAGGTAGAAAAAACAAGAATTGTTCTTTTAGTTTATTTTAATTTCTCGATGGGAAAAAGGGCAGCATTATCAGCTAACCGTGGCAATTGGAGAGGGGTCTTAGTGATTTAAGGAGATACAAGATGGTAAATGGTTGCTGAATTGAGTGGCCCACTTAAGGGTTGTGAATTTAAGTTAAAGCCTTCAGGCAGCCTTGTTCAGGGACTGTTGCAGGTGAATATAGATGAGATTTTGATTAAACGTAGCATTGGAGTTTTATCAGGTAAATATAATGAAGGAAGAGAATTGCAGGAATGTTGAGGGTCTATATAAAAAAAAGCTAAATGATGGGTGTTTTAGTCCACTTTGTGCTGATAGAGCACCACAGACTGGGTAATTTATAAAGAACACACATGCATTTCTCACAGTTCTGGAGGGAATGGAAAGTTCAAGATCAAGTTTGCAACATCTGGTTGAATTCCTTTTTGCTGCATCCTCACATGATGAAAAGTCAAAGGTCAAAAGGAGAAGAGTGTCCTCATATTAGAGAAGAGCAGAAGAGAGAGCAAACCCACTAACAAGAACTCATTTTAAAAGGGCTGTATTAATTTGTTCTCATGCTGCTATGAAGAAATACCCAAGACAGGGTAATTTATTAAAAAAAATAGGTTTAGTTGATTCACATTTCCACATGGCTGGGGAGGCTTCAGAAAACTTACAATCATAGTGCAAGTCACCTCTTTACAGGGCTGCAGGAGAGAGAATGAGTGCAAGCAGGGGAAATACCAGATGCTTAAAAAAATCCATCATATCTCATGAGACTCACTCATTATCAGGAGAACAACATGAGAGAAACTACCACCATGATTCAGCTACCTCCACTTGGTCCCAACCTTGACACGTGGGGATTATGGGAATTACAATTCAAGGGGAGATTTGGGTGTGGACACAGATCCAAATCATATCAGGGCCCTTTCCATTCATGAGGGAGGAGCCATCATAACCTATTCATCTCTCAAATGTCCCACCTTCCAATACTATCCCCTTGGTACTAGGTTTCTACATTAATTTCAGAGGGGAAATTCCATTAAAACCATAGCAAGGCATCATACAATCTAACCTGTTAAAAGAGACGAGTAAAGACATTAGGGGTTTCTAGACATAACAAATGTAGTGGTATCAATTGCCAATACATTCCAATGGCATCTAAGATTTCCAGGAGATGGGGTACCAAAAAGAGTGAGCTGAAAATATAGAGGTAGTGTTTAGAGAATAGAGTACTGGAATTGAAATTATGGCGGTGTGACTATTGGTGTTTTGGGGAGTTAAGCAATAGCTAGGTAACTAGTAATGGTCATTGCAGAAAAGGAAGTCAACAGATTGAGAAACTAGAATATCAGATGCAAAATCTAAATGGATTTTGAAATCATTGCAAATTATGAGAGAATTAATGTTGCAGAAAGATGAGGTGTGTCAGCCAAAATCCACATCCAGCTCCATGTTTGTGAGCCAAAGTTCTTACATAGATAAAGGTTGAAGATAGTTTCAGATCAATTTTGCCTCCAATACTATTAAAAATGGAGATGATTAGGAGATAGTTTAGGGACATGTATCTCAGTGGGTGTCACACAGTCTAATCTCCTACAAATAAACATCAGTTTTCTTTAGAGTTTAGGGACATGTATCTCAGTGGGTGTCACACAGTCTAATCTCCTACAAGTAAACATCAGTTTTCTTTAGTGAACATTTGGAAAGATTATTGGATTAGAAATTCTTCTGTATTTGCATAGCAGCAAATCCATGTGTGTTTTCAATTTGTTAAACTCTTTCACTCTGAAGATGGCTCTGTCCTATTCAGATGGAGCTCAACATTTGTTGAAAGTGTCCTAATTCTCATCACTGGTGGAACAGGCAAGAAGGGCCCAGTGGTACCGTCTGCTGGCCCTAGGAGAAGTCTGACCAAAAATTGAGACACATCTGTAGGAAGACCCCTGACTTCCTCCAAAATAAAGTGTCTTGCAGTCCAGATCTTCCCTGTTTGCTTGTGGGCACAGCTGACCTGGACCTCCCTTTCTGGGATGGGGCTTTCCTGGGTTGGCCTTGGCCTCAGAAGTGGCTCTGGTTTGGCCCCAGGGGTGTGTGGCCTGGCCAAGCCTGCAGCCTTCTGGTTGTGCCCTTGGTGTCACTAAGACCCCACCCCACCCCCCACTTCTGCTAAAACTGCACAGACAAATGCATTCTAGAGGCCACTCATGGCCTCCAGTGTACATTCCTCATGTTTACGTCATTTGTAATCTTCAAAACCAGTCCATAATGGTGTGATTAGTTTTGCTTCAAAAGCCCTGGTGTTGATTGCAGTCTATAGGAATTATGTGTAATTGTGGTGAGGGGACTTGTCCTGTATTAGAGTGAGTCTGTGCCCAGGTGGGGTCTCTGCCTTGCACACTGGTCCCCTCTATGTGCATTTCGCTAGCTGAATGCAACAGTAATTTACATCTGGAACAAATACACTCTGGGCATCACTGATTCTCTGCAGACAAGAGGTGGTATGGTAATCTCACTGACAGATGGACAGTGGCCCTCAGAAGGTCACAATGTCTTCTAGGAGTCATTAGGAATTTTCTAAGCTTTCCAAATGTTCATTTTATAAGAGTCAGGAGAATCTGTGAAATTTGCATCATTGGAGAAATGCAGTATTTAAGGTTAGCCTCTTACTCTTATCATTCACATAGTGTTCATACTCCTATACTGGGAAATATTTTTACACCATGGTTCATACCTATTAATGAGACAGAAATTATTAAAGAATCGTTTTATTTAGCAAAAGCTTATACAATGTTACTAAAGTCCTATATGATTTGTGCTATTACCCGATTACAGAGAAATGAGCTTCATATCTATTCCTTAACTTGTCTTGAGATAATAAGAAACTAATCAGTTTCTGCGTATTAGATATTTTTCATAACATAAAGGATATTTTCCTCAGTGGACAACTAGTTACTGAGGCAAACCAAACAGTGAAGACTGGGAAATGTTTTGTGCATAATTGCTATGACTATTCCTACATGATTTTTTGTCAATTAACAACATCCTGATGGGACCAACAAAAATACATCTTCAAAACTAGCAATGAAACAGGATTAAATAAAACAAGTTGAGAATAAGAACATTTCTGTCATAAAGGCAGCAATTAGTGATCATAGTAATACTAAAAGAAAATAAAGTCCCCTATTCAATTCATTTTATCGTCTCTTCACCAGAGATAGCTTTTTCATGCGTATAAGTTTGGATATTTTCTTGCTTTAAATATTTTTATCTATTATAAACAGTGCTACGAAAATATTTATTTTGTGTGTATGTGGGTATACGTGAATATATGTAACATGCAGTACTAGAAATGAAACTGGTAAGTTAAAGGATGTAGATTTCCATATGATAAACATTGCCACAAACTCTTCTGAGATATTGTATCAATTTGTACTTCTACTAATAATGGGTAACAATATCATTTCACAGAACATATTAAAACGTATACTAATTTATTCTAAATATTTGCTAATCTAAGTTCTGAAAAGCTTTTCCAAATTAAATTGTGAAATTTATACATATGCATAATTTATTGTTACATATATGTAAAACTATGATCTAAAGGTCAGATATTTTAAACTTTTTTTATTTCTTATTTTGTGTTCTACCTGTCTTCTTCTGCATTTTTATTCTGTTATGACTCATGTTATTTATTTTGTGCTTTTGATATTTTTATTATCTTTTAAATAGATATGCCTATTGCAGGATTTATTCCTTTGCTATTTGTTGTAAAGCTACTTTCATTGTTATAGTTTGTTTATAGTAATTTTTCCCTGGAAATAGTTAATAAATCATGTTAAAATTTATTTGTCATTTTTATTTTGATGGCTGGATTTCAAATTATGTTAATAAAAGCCTTCTCTATGCCAATATTATATTTTAAGATTCTCACAATATTTTTCTAGTAGTATTTATACAGTAAGTCTTTTTGTTATAATAACATATAAACCATAATTCCATCTGTATTTTTTATTTTGGTGTAATGGGAAATCTAAACTGTTTTTTTAAAATGGTTACCCGATTGTTGGAAAAACAATTTGTTACATAATTAATCTTTCCTTCACTAATGTGAAGAACCACATTTATCACTTAGTGAAAGGCTCTATGTTTTTCATTGATTTGCATATATATATATGTATGGATACAGAGACAGATTGGAGATAGGTATACTGGGATGCATTTGAAATGGTTAATATTTGAGAGTTCTCTGTTCAAAAGTTTTCTAGTCACTTTGAGTGACTGTTATCCAATAGAAAATTAAGAAAAAAAATAGTCACATTTCAAAAATCTCCTCTGATATTTTGATTTGAATATCCTTGTATTTTAGATTCAATGGGTGAGACTTCACACCATTTCTACCTTGTGTATTCCCATCCAGTATAATATTTGATTTTTCATTTATAAAACTCTCTTCGTTGTGTCACTCATTTGAAACAGTTTTATTCTCATAATCCTTTTATAGTTTTTGTTCATTTATTTCCTAATGTTGTTGTCTTTTCTTTTATTTCCCTACTGAAATTGCTGTCTATCCTTCCATCATATTATCTAGCTCATTGCTGTTTTTATATGGTTATATTATTCACATCTGTAGTTTTGTAGCCAACCATTTAACACAATTTTAATGTTGTACCTATAGTATTTTAGTTTTAAATCCTCTTTGAATTTTCTGAGGCTTTATCCCGTTAATATTTTTTCTTTTAAAAATATGTATTTACACTTAAAAATAAAATTTAAGAAAAAGCAAACTTACAGAAAAAAATTCAAGAATGATGTTAAAAAGTCTGCTTACTTGTATTATTCATAAATATGTTTAGAAAATTTTTAGTGGATAAATGTTAAGCATGATCCTAGAATAACATTGCTATAGGATAAAGATTCACAAGTAATGGGATAATACATATTATATATGTCTGTGGATAACTTACAACATCAAAATTTATTGTTTAAATTTTTTTATGACCAATCTTGTTTTCACTGGGACTACTTGTTTTGGAGATGACAGATAATATTTACTTTCTGAATTAAAAAAAAAAAAAACATACTTCAGTGGTAGAAACCACAAACCAGGGAATGGAATGCACCAACTCTGTGGCAATACCTCTTCCCACTGCTCCTTTGCCTTATAAAGAGGACATCAGAGGAAGGAAATACTTTCTCGGAAGACAAGATTTAAGACTTTAGAAGTGCGTTTCCATGCTTATCTCCATGGTATAGTTTCTGTCATGTTCCCCAAATATCCACAAAATCAGAGACTGCTTTTAGTCATCCTTCTGAAAGTTGGTAGATCAGAGAATTGCCCATGTTTCATTGCGTGAGGTGGAAGACAGCAGAGGGCTGGGTGAGAGAGAAAAACAGGTAGCTGGTACTCTCTGCCTACGTGGAGTGGGTCCTTGTGTGTTCCTGGCAGTATTGGGAATGTAACTGAAGTTTAGTGAGTCTTCAGCCTGCTTGCAAGCACCCGCAATGGCTGTGCATAGGGACACTGTGAAAGCAGCTGTAGGACTGATCTCCTTTTGTGTGGGGTAAGGGGAGAAAAAGGCTGCTGAAGATAACCTCATGAAAAGACTGAACGGAGCAACAAAAAGGGAGTCAGGGAGCTATGGATGCAGGGGCACAGAGAAGCCCACAAGCAGCCAGTTTTAGAAGGACAAGAAATCCAAACACATTAGCAACTGTTTGTAGCTAATAACTTTTATTACCTTCTCACCTCCCCCATTTCTTCTCCAGTTGACAGCTGACAGTGTTAGACGGGGGAAATCTTTTGGTTAGACACTTGAGCTTAGCCAAAAGGGTGAGAAGCGATAAACCTTTGATTAGAAAGTGGTGAGAGGTGACAGCATGCTGGCAGTCCTCACAGCCCTCGCTCGCTCTCCGCGCCTCCTCTGCCTGGGCTCCCATTTTGGCTGCACTTGAGGAGCCCTTCAGCCCACCGCTGCACTGTGGGAGCCCCTTTCTGGGCTGGCCAAGGCCCGAGCCGGCTCCCACAGCTTGCAGGGAGGTGTGGAGGGAAAGGCTCGAGCGGGAACCGGGGCTGCGTGGGGCGCTTGTGGGCCAGCTGGAGTTCCGGGTGGGTGTGGGCTTGGCGAGCCCGCACTCGGAGCAGCCGGCCGGCCCTGCCGGCCCAGGGCAATAAGGGGCTTAGCACCCGGGCCAGTGGCTGCGGAGGGCGTACTGGGTCCCCCAGCAGTGCCAGCCCACCGGCGCTGCGCTCAATTTCTCACGGGGCCTTAGCTGCCTTCCCGCCGGGCAGGGCTCTGGACCTGCAGCCCGCCATGCCTGAGCCTCCCACCCCCTCCGAGGGCTCCTGTGCGGCCGGAGCCTCTCCGATGAGTGCCGCCCCTTATTGCACGGTGCGCAGTCCCATGGACCACCGAAGGGCTGAGGGGTGCAGGCCCACTGCTGGGGACTGGCAGGCAGCTCCACCTGCAGCCCCGTGCGGGATCCACTGGGTGAAGCCAGCTGGGCTCCTGAGTCTGGTGGGGACGTGGAGAACCTTTATGTCTACCTCAGGGATTGTAAATACACCAATCAGCACCCTGTGTCTAGCTCAGGATTTGTGAACGCATGAATGGACACTCTGTATCTAGCTACTCTGGTGGGGCCTTGGAGAACCTTTATGTCTAGCTCAGGGATTGTAAATACACCAATCCGCACTCTGTATCTAGCTCAAGGTTTGTAAACACACCAATCAGTACCCTGTGTCTAGCTCAGGGTTTGTGAATGCGCCAATCGACACTTTGTATCTAGCTACTCTGGTGGGGCCTTGGAGAACATTTATGTCTAGCTCAGGGATTGTAAATACACCAATCAGCACTCTGTATCTAGCTCAAGGTTTGTAAACACACCAATCAGCACCCTGTGTCTAGCTCAGGGTTTGTGAATGCACCAGTCAACACTCTGTATCTAGCTACTCTGGTGGGTACTTGGAGAACCTTTGTGTCCACACTCTGTATCTAGCTAATTTAGTGGGGAGGTGGAGAACCTTTGTGTCTAGCTCAGGGATTGTAAAGGCACCAATCAGCGCCCTGTCAAAACAGACCACTCCGCTCTACCAATCAGCAGGATGTGGATGGGGCCAGATAAGAGAATAAAAGCAGGCTGCCCCAGCCAGCAGTGGCAACCCGTTCGGGTCCCCTGCCACACTGTGGTAGCTTTGTTCTTTCACTCTTTGCAATAAATCTTGCTACTGCTCACTCTTTGGGTCCGCACTGCTTTTATGAGCTGTACACTCACCGCGAAGGTCTGCAGCTTCACTCCCGAGCCAGCGAGACCACGAATCCACCAGAAGGAAGAAACTCCGAACACATCCTAACATCAGAAGGAACGAACTCCAGACATGTCACCTCAAGAGCTATAACACTCACCACGAGGGTCCGCGGCTTCATTCTTGAAGTCAGTGAGACCAAGAACCCACCAATTCCAGACACAGTGGGACCAGAAGTACAAGGAAGGAAAATATGCATGGAATAAGGAAATCTTGATATTGAGCTCAGAACTTAGGTAGTGATTAAATTTTCATAACTGAATTATACTACGAATTTACCTAAATTTAACACAAAGGGTGAGATATGATTGGCAAATTACAGTTTTCCCCACAGCTATCAAGCCATATGGTCCTAGCACATGATGTTGATATCATTTATTAGTAAAAACAAAAATATTTTATGTTTATGCGTAATTCATATCTGATTCATATGCTATAGTCTTGTTCTTCCACAGTATTTCTAAAAGTCATTATTGTCTAGGAGCTACTTTATAGTGATTAAACAAAATCGTGGGTCTGAGTTCCACAATTCTGTTGTGATTTTCTATTTGATTGTTTGCTTGTTTATTTGACAGCTTTCTGCATGATTCTAATATGTAGACAATGTTGAGAACCAATGCCTTAATACAGGGCTTCTCATATTTTCATGTGCATGTGAATTACCCACCTGTCTTGGTAAAATTACAGATTCTGTTTCAATAGGTCTAGGTGGGGCCTGAAATTGGGTATTTCTATCAAGCTCTCCAGTCATACTGGTGCTATTTCAGATCAACAACTTTAAATTTTAAATAGAGAATTGGAATTACCTATGTGAAAATTGTTATTTAAATTCACTTTTGAAATACCTGTATGGTGTGTGTGTGTGTGTGTGTGTGTGTGTGTGTGTGTGTCTGTGAGTGAGAGAGAGAGAGCATGCATGCACTGAAAACTTGAAAAACGGGTATTTTAAAATATTGGCTTTCAGATTTGTTTTCAGAGATGAGCAAATTATCATCTCATAATTCACTACATGTGTCCATTTTTGTGTAATTTTTCTCATTTCTAATTTTTCCATTTAGTGCATTTTTATACATTTTTTCTTGATTAGATTAGCTAATGACATATCTATGTTATATTTAAAAAACTTTTATTGTAGTTCTTTGTAAAATATAAACTTTACTGTTTTATTATTTGTATAACTTAATTTCTTTTTTGTTTTTCAATTCATTATTTTTCTGTTTCTCTTACATTACATTTAATATTTTCTGTTATTTTTAAAAATGCATAATTAATTAATTTTTATTTTCTGACTTTAAATATATGACTTCAGCGATCTTCAGCTATTTTACCAGGACCATGAATTTAGGTAAATTAGCAATTATATTATTCATTGAAATTATTTCCCATTTCTTTGCAATTTGTATTTTATTTTTTATCTTAATTTAATAGCTGTTTTATACTCTATTTTATATGGTGGTTTTTTGTTATCAGTTTTTTCTTTTTAACTGGTAAGCTCTCTTTTTTTCATTTTGATCAGAGAATGTAATTTCACTTTTGATAAATTTGGACATTTTCTATTTGTCTTAATATATAGGTAATTTTAAAAATATTTTTATTCACTCTTTGAGAGAATATTAGTGTATTGTCAACTCATATGAGTTTAAACTCATCTACTAGATCAAATTTATCATTATGATGATTGAGTACTCAATACACTAAATTTTTTTGTCTAGTTTATCTTTTATCTTCCTTGTATTTTATTCCACTTATTCTTTTCTTACAGTTTGAATTTTATATATTTTAAGTTGAACATATATTTATGATTATCGTAGTTTACTACCCCTTTTTTCCTTTATATATTGCTTTTTCTTTGAATTCAAACTCTGCTTTTTCTTCCCATGCAATTTTCATATATTTGGCTAACAATTTCAGTTATTTTGAGCCACTTTGTGTTATATGCATCTCCAGTTTACAAATGTTATTATTCTAGTTTTAAAAATTGTAACAAATACATTTATCTCCTACAGTTATTTATATATAAGTGATATATGCTCTCAGAATCACAATTTTGTGTTTTATTTCTGGTTTAATGATTCTTTCATTTTTTTTCTGTATGATCCTTATTTGTTTTCTTTGTTGGTTGTCATTATGGTAACATTATTTTAAGACTGGAAGTTTATTGACTGTTTTCATATAGAAATTGCTGTATTTATTGGCTTTTATCTGCTGTATTTTAATTATTTTTAAAATGAGGAAACCTTTGTCCAAGTACTTCCCCCTACTTTTCCTTCTTGCCACTTTCATTGTGTATTATTTTATAATACGTTTTCAATTGTCATGCTCTCTTTTTTTGTTTATAAACAAAAAACACAATTTCCACAGTCATTCAGACTTAGATATACACTTAAAAGCATGTGATTGATTCCAACACCTCTTTCTTTTCACAGCTTCTCCATTTTTGAGCTCTATATTATGCATTATTTATTGGCTGGCTAAACTCATTAAAAGTTTTTTTTTTCCACAAACATCCCAAAATAAATGTCCTGTAACCTTTGACTTCTTTCATGTTTAAGAATGTTTGTGTGTTGCTTTTACACTTGAATCACGCCTTAGTGGATTCAGAAGTCAGATGACACTTCCCTTCCTTGAGCATCAGGTATTACCGTGAGAAACCCAGATGCCAGTCTGAGTTTCCCATTTTTAGTTTACTTGATATTTATTTTATTTTTATCTTAGAATTTTATATTCAGTGGCTCTTACATTTTTACATGGTGGAATTGTTTAAACATAAATTGCTAAACCCCACACTCAGAAGAAATCTTTGATACAGCCTGGAAATTTGCCATTCTGACAAATTCCCTAGTGATGCTGACACTACTGGTTTGGGGATCACATTTGAAGAAATATTGGTTTATGTAATTTCCCTTTTTATTGCTGGAGTTCAGTGACACCATTACAACATATTGCGGTGTGATGTATTTACTCACATTGTGTGATTTTCAAATGAATATTCTGATCCTTCTCTCAGGGCAGATTTTCCGCTATTATCACATGAAATATTATATTCTACTCAAATATTTTCTTTGGCCTCTTTAGGGATATCAGTTAATTCTAATATACTTTCCTATAATTTTTCTGCAGGAGTGATCCCCTTTTTATTTAGTAAAAGCATTTTTTTTCATTTTGATCAGAGAATGTGATTTCATTTTCAATAAATTTGGACATTTTTTATTTGTCTTAATATATAGGTAATTTTTTTTTCATTCGTACGATTTTTGTTGTGAAATCTAACACAGATATCTAGAAGGGAGTAAAACTTACTTTGATAGTATAATAAATAATTAATTATAAAATGAATCCTCACTTAAGCACCAGCAAAGTAAAGGAATAAAATCTTGGAAATATCCTAGAAGCCTCTGAGAGTCCCATTGAGATCACATCTCGTTCCTTCTACTCTAAGCTGACTTACACGTTATTTACTTCCTTGTTTCTCTTTCTAGTTGTTCAACCTAAGAATGCATTCCTCAAGAAACACACACACACGCACACACACGAAAATAAATTTTACTAGTTTCTACTGGGTTTCTGTCCTTTGTATTTGTAATTATTTTCTTTAACAAATGCCTTAGTATATATTATAGGGTAGATGAAATTGGTTGCTGTATCAAATGCTATACTTAACTCTCCTGGGAACAGTTATTATACTAGAATTGATACAGAAACTTAATCTTAAATGTCAACTGTTCCTAGATACTTGAATCCTCTTCAGTGTTTAAGATAAAGCTACTCATAGATAAATAAGTCAATAATCATTGCTTACAAAATCCTTTGACCATTACCGTCTCAAAATTTCAAATTCGAATGATCTAATATTCTTTTATATAACCCAAAATATTTTACAATTTTTCTTAATAACTAATGAGATTTGTATGTCCCCCAAACATTGTAACAACCTAATGATTCTGGCTAAATTGCCCAAAACCAAATGGCATCTCATCTCAGATCTTGCTCCACAGAATGGTCAATCTAGATGATTGCATGCAGTCTCCTGTGTCATAAGCCCAAAGATTCTTTAAAGGCAGCCTGTGTAAAAAATTGTGGAGCTGGAGAGCCCAGATAATGTGAAATGAAGAGGATCTGGGAGAGAGACACATTACAGTTTGAGTAATAAGTAAGAACACGTGTTAGTGGCATATTAGAGCAGGAGGCAAGGAAAGGTCTAAGATGCTGGTGGTGGGCCAAATCCAGTGCCTAGGTTACAAGGTATGTCTACCACATGTTTTTAAAGTCATGTCTGGCCCAGGTAAAAGAATAAGGAATCCGAAAAACAGAATCATGCAATTAAATGTTTATAAGATTTATTATCCATTTTATTTATTTTTTGCATTTCATTCTTTCATGTATTTATTAAACATATTTTCAAGTGCTTTAACTTAGGACGCCAACATGTTACACAATGCCTGCTTTTATAAACTAACCTAAAATAAATAAATAGATCAGAATATGGTAAACATATTACTGAAGTAATGATATGTGTTGTTAAGTGAATAAAAAAGGAACCTATGATATAGTCACATCCAATGGTAGACATATGGGAAGATTTTTCTGCAGGAAATGCTGCTTATGTGAGTCTTGTAGAACAAGTAAAATTTCCCAAAGATAGATGCTAGCAAGGATCAGAGGATATGTCAGAAATTGAAATATTCTGGGAAAAAATAACAGTATGTGTAAAGACAAGACAACCTGAATGAACATGATATAATAAAGGAATTTTAAGTACCATGAACTAAAAGTGTCATTTACAGCATTTTAAGATTTTATTTACTTATATCAAAATAGGTCAGACTGAATTTAATATATATAACCACATGAAGATGCAAAAGGAGGAGTAGGCAATAATGAAATGCAGAGGAAGGAATAGCATGAACAGAAATTGAGAAAATATAGTAGCAATTAGTGGCAATATTTTCTGACCAATGAAATGAGGAACAGTGAGGAAAAGAGAATATCCTCCAGAGGAAGGGCATCTACAGGGTGATTCCCAGATTTCAAGTATGAATGGCTAGACATTTGATACAGAAAATAGAACAGAAGGTAATATAGTGGGGTACTGTATTTGTCCATTCTCACTCTGCTATAAAGATACTACCCGAGACTGGGTAATTTATAAAGGTAAGAGGTTTAATTGACTCATAGTTCCTCATAGCTTGGGAATCCTCAGGAAATTTACAACCACGGTGGAGGTGAAGGGGAAGCAGGAGTCTTCTTCACAAGGCTGCAGAAGAAAGAGAGAGAGAGCAAAGTTGTAACTGCCAAACACTTTTAAAACCATTAGCTCTCAAGAGAACTCACTCACTACCATGAGAACAGCATAGGGGAAACTGCCCCATGATCCAATCACCGCCCGTCAGGCCCCTCCACTGACACATGAGGATTACAATTTGATATGAAATTTGGGTGAGGATACAGAATGAAACCATATCAGGTACTAAAAGGAATTTGAGAGTTGAATGTTAATTTACAGCCACAGATATGTGTGTGTGTGTGTGTGTGTGTGTATACGTATATATGTTTATATATATGTTTGAGCTTATATATGTGTGTATCATATATAGACATGTTTCAGTCATATATATGACATCTAACTGAAAATTTCCTGACACAAGTGCTCAAGAGAACAACTTCGTGTCATTAGCATGTTTGTGATATTTGAAAATGATAATACAAATTTGAAGATTTATGGGAAGTGAAAGTATGGGGGTCTAGGAGACCATCTCTAAAGATGAAAACTGAAATGGCAAAAATATTATGAGAATTCCAGAAAAAAATACCTCTGAAAAGAAAGAGAAGTGAAACTAAAGTTTAGTGAGCAAAGAGATTGGAGGAAAACTAAGCATTTTGTCTTAGAACCCAAGAGAAGCTAGTTTCAAACTGTAGGAAGTGCAGAATCATCTCATAGAAAGAAATATAAAATAAGTTAACATTTAGCATGTGTTTCTCGGATTTATCCTCACTGCATTCATTAGTAATCTCGAGGAATATAGTGTTTATGACAGGTCATTATCAGAAATGAAGACATAAAGTGTGAATAAAAAGTTAGAAAGTGCACAGTGCAACTATAATCTACCTTTTTCCACTAATTTGGCTTGGAAATTAAAGAGAGGCAGGAATGCAGACATTTTAAATATACCGAGAAAATTCTGTTTTCTAAAATGAAGATAACTAAATTTATTACCTAATGTCTACTGAAATGTTGACTGAGGATAAAAATGATATAAGACAACCTAGGCTGTTTTTTTAATGCAATTTATACATCAATTAAGTGTGTTGGTGAACTTAAAAAAAATACACAAAAGTTTATGTTGGTAGGGTGAGGCCAGTTAATGAAAAGCCAATAAGAAATCAGACCTGACCAAATTTATTCAGTCTTTGAAAAGTGTAAGGAAAGATGTCACTCATATCTATCAAGACAGAAGGGTATATTTTCCCTTTGGGCAAATGTTCAAAAAAGATAACTATAATTTTCAAAGTCTTATTCCATTATTTTAAATATCATTTCCCAACAATTTACATGTATTCAGTCTAATTGCATTAACAGAAAAATTAAATATCAGAAGCTCAGCAGCTATATTATAGTAGCTTTTGGTTTGTCCAATAGCCAGTTATAAATTTCTTCAAATTTCCTTACCATGTGGAAGTTAGCCTCTATTTTGTTTTAGCAGACTATGACCAAAAAAAAGAAAAAATAATAATCTAATCATTGTCTCTTAGTTTCACATAGGAGACATCTTATGTATCAGAAGGTAAATTCTGTGCTTTAAATTCAATTTTTGTTTTCTTGAAAGGATGCAAATGTTTAAAAATTTTTAAATATGAACTAAAACACTTGTAAGTTAAAATTATTATGTGCTTTGTTATAACTTTATCAATATGTAAATTATTTTATACATAAAAACTACTGATAATCCAATAGGAAACATATAATTAAGTAAAGTCTAAAAGCTTTTTAATATGAGGGATAAGGAGGATACTGGATACTTAAGACATTTTAGTAACAGTTGTATAAATAATTTCTCAAAAATAAAAGTCGTATAGTTAGCATTTAGATTACTTTTTTTTCCTGACTTGACTGGTTTAATTTTACCATGATTCCTACATACTGGTGTCCACAGTACTTTGAATATTATATGATGAATAATTGGGGAATATTTTATGTCAGAAAGATGATTTTTCAACAAAGAATACAGACATATCTGTAAGTTTTTCATATGTCATTGGTAGAATAATTTTTAAATAATGCATTTTGAAAAAAAAATTTGTTGCCATTGTATACCTAGATATAACATGTGCTTACATTGATTCTCTGGCCATGAATGTTAAACATCTTTGTATAGGTCTTCACACACATTACTGGTGGTTTTTAAAATTTTAACTGTCATTACACCCACCCCAAATCCTTGGAGGTTAAATTCATATTTTTCTTTAGTCAGTCTCAGTCCCAGCCCTGGTTGGCATTGCTTGGTGTTTATATTTGTATATTGTAACCATAACCCAGTTCTAACCTTAAAAGTTTCTGTTTTCGTCTTTGCTCTGTGAAAATGCCTTTCTTGCCCCTTTTTCTCTTATGGCCCTGATTCTAACCCAGGAAATTAGATGGTTAAATATAAAACCACACCCTAATTTGCAATGTTGCACAAGGTAGTTTTATTTTTTGCATGTGATTTTTAACCTGTTGTTCTTTGTTTTCAAGAAAATTTGCATTAAAACTCTGCCCTTCATTCTAAAATGTCCATCTGTTCCTACTGTTTATTTCTAGACTTAAATAGTGAGTGACATCGTTATAATTTCTATGGCAACCAACTGCATTGACATTAAAAGATGATACAGCCTTCGGATAGTATAAAAACAGCAGAAGCTTGAGAACTCTTAAAAACAATGTCTTCTGTTCATGCAAATGTCTTTAATAAAGAAGGAAGGATTTGTTGTAACTCTCTGAAGACATGCACAATCTGAGGCTCCGAAAGTGTAAGTGTAAGAAAGAAGTATAAGTGTAAGAAAATCTTTTATGTACTGAATGTTCTTAACTTTTTTAATTTTGATATTTTCCCAAATTCTATATGAGTATTCCATTTTTCTAACCTTGGAAGTAAAAATTATGAGGGTATAAAATGGTGTTTAAAAATGACCTATTATTGGTTCCATATGAACTTTAAAGTAGTTTTTTCCAATTCTGTGAAGAAAGTCATTGGTAGCTTGATGGGGATGGCATTGAATCTATAAATTACCTTGGGCAGTATGGCCATTTTCACGATATTGATTCTTCCTACCCATGAGCATGGAAGGTTCTTCCATTTGTTTGTGTCCTCTTTTATTTCGTTTAGCAGTGGTTTGTAGTTCTCCTTAAAGAGGTCCTTCACTTCCCTTGTAAGTTGGATTCCTAGGTATTTTATTCTCTTTGAAGCGATTGTGAATGGGAGTTCACTCATGATTTGGCTCTCTGTTTGTCTGTTATTGGTGTATAAGAATGCTTGTGATTTTTGCACATTGATTTTGTATCCTGAGACTTTGCTGAAGTTGCTTATCAGCTTAAGGAGATTTTGGGCTGAGACGATGGGGTTTTCTAAATATACAATCATGTCATCTGCAAACAGGGACAATTTGACTTCTTCTTTTCCTAATTGAATACCCTTTATTTCTTTCTCCTGCCTGATGCCAAGACAATCCTAAACCAAAAGAACAAAGCTGGAGGCATCACGCTACCTGAGTTCAAACTATATTACAAGGCTACAGTAACCAAAACAGCATGGTACTGATACGAAAACAGACATATAGACCAATGGAACAGAACAGAGCCCTCAGAAATAATACCACATATCTACAACCATCTGATCTTTGACAAACCTGACAAAAACAAGAAATTGGGAAAGGATTCCTTATTTAATAAATGGTGGTGGGAAAACTGGCTAGCCATATGTAGAAAGCTGAAACTGGATCCCTTCCTTACACCTTATACAAAAATTAATTCGAGATGGATTAAAGACTTACATGTTAGACCTAGAACCATAAAAACCTTAGAAGAAAACCTAGGCAATACCATTCAGGACTTAGACATGGGCAAGGACATCATGTCTAAAACACCAAAAGCAATGAAAACAAAAGCCAAAATTGACAAATGGGATCTAATTAAACTAAAGAGCTTCTGCACGGCAAAAGAAACTACCATCAGAGTGAACAGGTAACCTACAGAATGGGAGAAAATTTTTGCAATCTACTCATCTGACAAAAGGCTAATATCCAGAATCTACAAAGAACTCAAATTTACAAGAAAAAAAAACAAACAACCCCATCAAAAAGTATGAACAAACACTTCTCAAAAGAAGACATTTATGCAGCCAGCAGACACATGAAAAAGTGCTCATCATCACTGGCCATCAGAGAAATGCAAATCAAAACCACAATGAGATACCATCTCACACCAGTTAGAATGCCGATCATTAAAAAGTCAGGAAACAATAGGTGCTGGAGAGGATGTGGGGAAATAGGAACACTTTTACACTGTTGGTAGGACTGTAAACTACTTCAACCATTTTAGAAGACAGTGTGGCAATTCCTCAAGGATCTAGAACTAGAAATAGCATGTGACCCAACCATCCCATTACTGGGTATCTACCCAAAGGATTATAAATCATGCTACTATAAAGACACATGCACATGTGTGTTTACTTCGACACTATTCACAATAGCAAAGACTTGGAACCAACCCAAATATCCATCAATGATAGACTGGATTAAGAAAATGTGGCATGTATACACCATGGAATACTATACAGCCATAAAAAATGATGAGTTCATGTCCTTTGTAGGGACATGATTGAAGCAGAAACCACCATTCTCAGCAAACTATCACAAGGACCAAAAAGCAAACACCGTGTGTTCTCACTTATAGGTGGGAATTGAACAATGAGAACACTTGGACACAGGAAGGGAAACATCACACACCAGGGCCTGTCGTGGGATGTGGTGGGGGGGAGGGATAGCATTAGGAGATACACTTAATGTAAATGATGAGTTAATGGGTGCAGTACACCAACATGGCAAATGTATACTTATGTAGCAAACCTGCACATTGTGCGCATGTATCCTAGAACTTAAAGTATAGTAATAAAATAATGACATTTTATAATTGTAATATAGAAGTTCATTGATTTACTCCAATATCCTTTATGTAATAAATCTAAGATCTTGTAGAAGTAGATCCTAATAATTGTGTCAGATGTAGGATTTTGTTAGAAAGAAGTGTCAGAAAATTTGCTGGGCATGGTGGCTCACGCCTGTAATCCCAGCACTTTGGGAGGCCATGGTGGGCACATCACGAGGTCAGGAGTTTGAGAACATCCTGGCCAACATGGTGAAACTCCATCTCTGCTAAGGATGTGGTGGTGCACACCTGAGACAAAGTCTCAGCTACTTTGGAGGCTGAGGAAGGAGAATCACTTGAACCTGGGAGGTGGTGGTTGCAGTGAGCCAAGATTGTGCCATTGCACTCCAGCCTGGGTGACAGGGAGAGACTCAGTCTCAAAAAAAAAAAAAAAAAGTATCAGAAACTCAATGGAACAAAAATAACATAAAACAGAGAGAGGAGAAATGGAGAAGAAGGTCATCTGAGATATTCTCTGTCAGTTCTGTGGTGAGCTTAGATTATAGTAAAGGGCATCGTGTGTGTGTGTGTGTGCATGCGTGTGGTGTGTAAGAGATAATACATTATGCAAAAATGATTGAAAATGTAAATAAGAACACTGGAATGTTTAAATGGAAGCTTTGATGCACTACACAGATCCCCTACCCAGGCACCTATTCCATAGCTACTGGGAGTGTTGGTAGATGACCACTCTCTAATGAGTAACTTTCCAGGAATTTCCTTAGGCAAAAAGAGTTGTCACATCTAATGTTAACTTGAACTCCACACCCAGCTTGCATTCTGTGGCAGGTTGGTGCAAGAATATATAGACCTAGCTACCTTTGGGCATGCTGAAATAAAAAAGAGACTGTACTTCAAAGGAATTGTAGAACTAGCCAATGTGTACCAACAGGAATCCAGAGAATATACATGGTGACTGGATTCTGAGGACCTGCATTATGACAGAACAGAAAAAAAAGTTATATAATGAAGATTTTATCAATATAAGCTTGCTTTCTTATGATACAGGTTTAACATTCTTGTAATTACCCCAAGAACCTGTCTCTGCACACTACTCGTGGTACTTAGAAACTTGGAAAAAGTAATGCCTAACACTAAGTGAGAGAAATAGCCTGGTAACAAATGGAGAGAAAGAACAAAAGATTCAGAGAACAGCGTGGGTATGCTAAGTAATATCTGAATACTCACAAACTTCCTACGCTCTCTCGATGCTGGATGGTGCTGTTTGCCTGAGGACATGTGTCTATCAAAACAATATACACTGTGCTAACGAGAGAGGTTGCAGGATCACAGAGAAGCTTATCAGAGATTCAACACGTTTTCTCAGTGACATGGAAGTTTGTGAAGGCCCTGCAGCAGATCTAAGACATTTAAATTATACTCATTCAAAAACAGATACTGGAATGCCAGTGAGTCCCGGAGGAGAAAAAGTAACTCACTATGGCACAGTAGATGAATATGCAGCCTGAGCAACCTGCCATAGGCTGGGTTCTATCAAAACCACCACATCTGCCGCCCAACAGCATTCCGTCTTATGACGGAAGTGGTATGCTCAGAATCGAAAATAAGAATGTCTTGAATTCACAAATAAGCTGCACAAACAAGTAGCATACAGACTGGTGTTATTATCTACTCTTGTAGTCAGCCAACCCATAGAGGGTGGCTGTGGCTTATGACCAGCTGACTGAGGAGGAAAAAGACTAACCTTAGTTAAGAGATGTTTTGGATCAGTGAGTACAAACTAAAATTGAGATTCTGCTGCACTACTGTCAATCTATGTGTCACCCTGAAAGACAATGTCAAGGGACAATGCTCCCAAGGGGCAGATCTTTGAATAATGCTCCTTATCAACTCAGAGACACAGCAGATACAAAGAGATCTGGAGAAAGAACATAAGGGTAAACTTCACAAACTGTGAGGATTCTTGAATTGTATGTTAGTTATGCACTTCTAAACAACTAAAGAAAACAGAATGATTCTACCAGCCAGTCGTTCCCATCAGTCTTCAGTGCCGGCATAATGGCTAATGGCTGCAGGAATGGAATAATCAAGGTAGCAGAGATGTAGGCTACACATGAAACCTACTGTTTGAGCCTCACTCACCGCTGGTTATCCAGCTTGTCAGCAAAAGGGACAAACACTTATCTATCAGAGGTTACTTCTTCCAAGGAACTCAATTAGCAACTTGGACCTCTTAAACCCTGGTATTCTAACTGCAATGTCTCATCTTTTAAGACTGTTGCATTGGGGATTAAGTTTAAACATTTGAATTTTTTGGGATGCATTAAGACAATAGCACCAGTGGATTTCATTGCCACGTAACTTCTTTCTTTGTTATCAATTGAATCTCTTGGTCTGATGAGATGTTACATGAGACAACTTGTCTGTAAATCAAGCACTTCACAAACACTGTGATAGTGCTGCTGACCTATCCTAGGATGGCCTGAGAGCAGAAAAAGCAACTCATGCCAGAAACATAGGTGCATTCCAATTAAGATTAGGCCATGAGTGCTCCATCCTCATGGATGGGACTTTTGAATTATAAAAGGGCTGAAGGGAACTAGGTAGGCCTCTTTTTTTCTTTCTGTCTCTTCTGCCATGAGAAGCCACAGCATTCACAGTGCCGTCTTGGAAGCAGACTGTGTCCACACTAGATGTCAAACTTGCTAGCTCCTTGATTTAGGACTTACTACTCTCCAGAATTGTGTGAATAAATTTCTGTTCTTCATAAATTACCCAGTCTCAGTTATTTTGTTAGAGAAGCACAAACTAAGAAAATTGGCCATATCAAATATTTGCCATCCAGAAGCTGCTGGCTTAATAAAGCAGTATCATGGCTTCTGAAAATGAAAATGGGCTGCCATTATCCAGAATTTGTTTTCCATCCTAAGTCAGTTGTTATTATCGGATGCTGTGTCCAATAGGTCAAAAACTTGTGTCTAGCCACTCAGTGGTGAAAGTAGGAGTGCCCCTGTCTACCATCACACTTAGCTACCTGCATAAGGATTTTGTACTTCCCATGTCAATGAGTTCACCGGAGGCTGTAACGATAACTCTAATAACATCAGGTTCTGGCTGCTTTTTGATCAGTGTAGGCTCCTTGTGCTAAAAAACCACGTAGCAAGAAAACACGTTATTCTCCTTTCTAGTGTTATTGATCACAATTATCAACAGCGTATTGGGCTGCTGTTAAAATTTGGAGATATGGAGGGAGATATGTGGCTCATCAGATGACCATTTATTGCATCTCTTGATATGCCTTGGTGCAAATTTTACAGTAAATGGACTATTGTGGTTGCTATGACCTGAATAGGTCATGGTATTTGGAGACATAGATAACTGAAAATGTTCTTGATCATGCCTCTACAGAGGTGCTAGCCTAGGTTAAGCAAAATCTTGAGTGAGAAGTAGTTGAGAGAGTCCATAAATGACAGTTGAGGCCTCTAGTTCAGTGTCAGTGATGAGGTACAGAGGTAAAAGATACAGTTCATCCAAGTATACTTCTTGATAGTTTTTTCCAGGGAAGAAGATCAAGGAGAATTTTACAGGTCTGTTTGAAAATTTTGTTTTGAAAAGATAATGGATGTGTGTTGAGCAAGGGTTGGGCTGAGTGGAATCTTTAGTAGGTCACCCAGATTCACCCTTTAGGACTGAAGCATTCATTCCTCCATGCTGACAGCTCACAGTTAACTCATTCTGCCAAAAATACTACCTCCATAGAGCTCGCAAGACATCCCCAGGGGCACTCTAATTCTAATGACTGGTTTATACCATGGTATAAAGAATGAGGTCACCTTTCTGCAGGCAGGATAACTCGAAAGGAACATCCTAGCTTCAGAGCTCTTCATCACATTGGCCAAGGCGTTTGCACAATTTCATTCCAGTTTAATTGCTTTCTCTGTGTAATCCTTCTTCCTTAACTCCCTTATAGAAGTTGATTTCAAGGACACTCTCCTATTACATTGAATAAACCTCCTACATGAAAATCTAGGCAGCCCAATCTAAGAAAAATGTCTATAAAGTTAAAGTTATTAGAGGAGTATGTCTTGATGTAATGTGTTTTATTTTACTGGAATCGAGTAAGCACAAATTTAGCTAACTCCAAGAGATGTATTGTAGAGGGGGATTCTTATATTGAATGCAGGTTTTAATTACATGACCTCTAAATAATCTTCAAGTTCTGAATTAACATTGCAGGTTGTGTGTGTGTGTGTGTGTGTGTGTGTGTGTGTGTGTTTTAATTACATGGCCTCTAAATGATCTTCAATTCTGAATTAACATTGCAGGTTATATGTATGTGCGTGTGTGTGTGTGTATATATATATACATATATATATATATATATACACACATGCATAACATAAATTTATCTCTTTTTCCATATGTGTTAAAGTAAAAATGACATCTTCCTACAGGCCAGGAATAGTCCCTCTTTTTCCCAACATTAAGTTTAAATCTACATAAATAAGGTTATAGAGTGGTGAAGCTGGATTAAATCTATAAATATACAATTGAAGAAAGAGAAAATTAAAATTAAAAATAAAGTTATATCTTAGCATCCTGAAAGGTAAAATATTGAAAAATAATCACATGCATTTTTAGAATAATAACTGATTAGCATTTTAGATGGATATTTACACTTTCTTTTCCTCTTTTCTCGTATTAGTTCTACTATCAGCACTTTTCTTTCCTAGAAGAGTCAGGCTTCTATAAATGTGGTTAACTGCATGACTAAGAAAATAAATTAAACTTTGAAATGGTAATTTAAATTTCAGTTGACTTAATAAGGAAACTAATGAAAGGAAGTGAATCAGGACTTCAGAACCATGTTGCCTGTTTGCTGACTCTGCTTTACTTGTCCTTTTCAACTAGATTTTTTTTTTCACATTGTGATAGACTTACGACTGAAGGAGATACAGTACATGCTTACTTATTGCAGTTCATTTTGCTTTCCTAGCATGTACAAAAATATTTGTTCTGTAAAAATCATTACCCTATAGTTAGAATCACTCAATACAAATAAAGCATATGTCTTTCTGATTTTCTTAAATACATGCATTAAAATTTATTATATTGTGTTAAAACATAATTACATTCTTTCTTGTTATTCTTTTAATTTTCTTGCTTATTTTTAAAACATTTACCACAAATTAAATACACACATGCATTATATATATGTATATATCACATTCATATATGTAATTATGATAAAGTTCTGAGGAAGCAAAAGGAAATCTCATGTTTTTCTCTTAAAATAACATTTTCTACCAATTTTAGAAAAAAAGATTTAATTGAGAAGATATCCATGCCAACATGTTTGTTGAACATATGTTTTTTTTTCCATGGAATTTCACATAGTGAGATTTAATAAAGATATAAGAAAAAAAATGCAACAGTAGTAAAGGTAGTATTGATTAAATATTTGTATATTTCTATAGTTTTTTTTCCTATGAAAAATAAATTTCATTTATATGGCAAAAGCAAAATATGAAAATTGACTGGTTTTGTTATGAACTCATATGTTTTCTTTATGGCTATACAAGTGAAGGAATAAAATTGCCTTGCAATAATGCAAGGGGCAAAGATGGAAGAGTAAAGAGAACCAGAGCAGTCAGTTTCCACTAACCCTTTAGTATAATTTTGAGGAACACATAAGTTAAACATTAAAGAACTAGAGAAACTGCTGCCTGACTACAAGGGCTGGAATGTGAAAACAAACCCATTAAGACCCCACCTGGGTTTTCTCAGACCCTAAAATCTGATTGAATAATAAAAGTGTTCTTACACATACACCTCATACAACGACCCACTTAAGATTAAGAAACTTTCCAAGACTGTAGAGAAAGCTTTCCAGACCCCAGGCCCTAGTTAAAGATGAGATATAGATTGAGTGAAACAATCCTGCTTGTACATGCATTCCCACATGTAGGCATAAAGCTTAAAACGTATATAAGCACTAGAAGAAAACTTGTAACTTTGAGTTGGTTTGGTGAATTTTCCTAACCTTCTCCCTGTGGCCAGTTGCAGAAATAAACTTTCTTCTTTGCCAGTCCATCTGCATCTTGTTATTGGACCACAAGACTAAGCAGCCAGACCACTTTCTGTCTGGGAACAAAAACACTCTTCCCAACAACAACAACAACAACAACAACAAAATACACATTCTTCTCAGGTGCACATGGAATAGTTTACAGAATAGGTCATGTACTAGGTCACAAATTAAGTGTCAATAGATTTTAAAAGATAGGTATTATACAAAATATCTTCTCTAGCTACAATGGGATAAAGTTAGAGATCAAAAACAAAAGAAAAGATGAAAACAATTACAAATTTGTTAAAATTAAATATCACACTCTTCAAAAATCAATGGATTTAAGAAAAAATTACAAAAGGAACTCGAAAATACTTAGAGATGAATAAAAATGAAAACACCATGCACCAAATATATAGAACATGGTAAAAACAGTGTTAAGGAGAAAATTTATATCTATATACATTTATATTAAGAAATAAGATCTCAAATCAACCATATTAATTTAAAATGAGAAACTGAAAAAATAATAACAAATTAAACCCAAAGCTAGCAGAAAGACAGAAATAATAAAAACTAGAGAAAGGAATAATAAATAGAGAACTTAATTAAAAAAGGGAAAATTAATGAAACCAAAAGACTTTTCTCTGAATAAAAAAACAAACAAATTTAGCTAGATGGACTAACAATAAAGAGAGAATACTCAAATTCTGAAAATCAGGAAAGTGTAGACATTATTACCAACTCTATAGAAATTAAAAAGATTATAAGTGTACTATGACTAATTGTATACGAAAAACTTGGTTAACCTAGACGAAATGGACAAATTTCTAGGAACACAAACTTATCAAGACTAAGTCAGGAATAAATAGAAAATTTACATAGATCTATATCTAGTGAGGAGATTGTGTAAGTAATCAAAAATATCCCAATTAGGAAAACCCTGGATCTGATGCCTTCTCTAGTAAAGTTTACCAACTAGTTAAAAAAAGAACTAACATCAATTCTTCTCAAACTTTTCCAAAAAGTTTGAAGAGGCAAAAACACTTCCTAACTCATTTTGTGAAGCAAATATTACCTTGACACCAAAATCAGACAAAAGCACTACAAGAAAAGAAAACCACATACCAATATCCTTTATGAAAATAAATAAAAAATTATCAACAAAATACTAGCAAACCAAATTCAGATGCATATTAAAAAGATTGTACACCATGGCCAAGTAGAGTTTATTATTGGATAAATATGCAAAGATGATTCAACATTCACAATGAAGAGGAAAAAAAACACGTTTATCTCAAGTAATGCAGAAAAAGCATTTGTTAAAATTCAACACACTTTTATGACAAAAATGAGCAAATTAGGTATAGTAGGAAACTACTTGAATATAATAAAAGCTGTATATAAAAAAATGTAGCAAACATAATGCTTAATGGTGAATGACAGCTTTTCTTCTAAAACGTGGAACAAGGAAAGGATATCTGCTTTTGTCACTTGTATTCAACATAGTGTTGGAAGCTCTAGTCAAAGCAATTAGGCAAACAAACAAACAAAAGAGAAATAAAAAGCATCCAAATGGGAAAGAAAGAAAAAAAATCCATTTTGCAGATGATATAATCTTAGGTGTAGAATCCTAAATATTCAACATGAAAATTGTTAGAACTAGTAAATGAATTTAGCAAGGTAGCAGAATACAAAGTCAACACACCAAAATCCATTACATTTCTATATTTTAACAATGAACAACCTGAAGAGAAAATGAAGAAAACAACTCTATTTACAAAAATAAAAATTAAAAACTTAGGAATTATCTTGACCAAGGAGATGAACTTGTACCGTGAAAACTACAAAACATTGTTGAAAGAAATTAAAGGACACAAATAAATGGAAATGCATTTCATGATAATGGATTGGAAGACCATATTGTTAAAAAGTTGATACTATCCAATGTGAACTACAGATTCAGTGCAATCTCTATCAAAATCCTAATGCTTTATTTTTCAGAAATAGAGCACCCATTCTAAACTTGACATAAAATTTCAGAGGATCAGGAAGAGCCAAAACAATCTTGAAACAGGAAAACAAAGCCGGAGAACCCTCACATCTGATTTCAAAACTTAATACAAAGCTACAGTAGTCAAACATTGTGGTTGTGGCATAAAGTCAGACTTGGAGACCAATGGAATAAAATAGAGAGCCCAGAAATAAACCATTGCCTCTATTTTCGAATGATTTTTGACAAGGGTATGAAGAGCATTCAATAGGTAAAGGACAGTCTTTCAACAATTGGTACTGGAAAATTGGATTGACATGCAAAATAATACGGTTGGACCCTTACCTAAAACCATACACAGAAATTCACTCAGAATGAATCACAGAGCTAAATGTAAGGCCAGACACTGTAAAGTTATTATAATAAAATATAAAGAAAAAGCTTTGCAGCTTGAGATTTGGCAATAATCTCCTGGATATGACACTAAATGCCCAGGTAACAACAGCAACAAAAACTAGACAAATTGGACTTCAAGAAAATTATTAAAAAATATATTAAAAGACACCATCAAGAGAGTAAAAAGGAAATATACAGAATGGGAGAAAATATTTGAAAATCATGTATTTGATAAGGGATTCATATCAAGAACACATAAACAACTCCTAAAATTCAACAACAAAACAGCCTTATTCAAAAATGGGCAAAGAACTTGAATAGACATTTTTTCAAAGAAGATATACAAATAGCCAGTTATCACATGACATAATGCTTAACATTGCTCATCATTTGAGAAATAAAATAAAAGCTAGCACAAGATACCACCTTACACCCATTAGTGTATTGGTTATCAAAGAAAAAAACAAGTAACAATTGTGGTATGCACAATAATTGGAACCCTTTTTTATTGTTGCTGGAAATGTAAATAATATAACTGCTATGAAAGGCAGTATGGCCATTCCTCAAATAATCAAAAATATAATTACCATATGATTAAACAGTTCCACTTCTGGGTATAGATTAAAAAGAATAAAATCAAAGTCTTGAAGAGATAGTTAAACATTCACGTGCAGCATTGTTCACAACAGCTAAAACATGGAAGCAACTCAAGTGTCCTTTGAGGGATGAATAAATAAGCAAAATATGCTATATAAACACAATAGAATATTGTTTAATTGTAAAAAGGAAAGGAATTCAAACATATGTTACAACATGGATGAAACTTGAGGACATTATGCTAAGTAAAATAAGCCAGTTACAAAAAGACAAATACTGTATGTTTCCAGTTAGATAGGGCACTTAAAATACTCAAGATCATAGAGACCTAAAGTAGAGTGGTGGTTGCCAGAGAAGCAGGGGAAGGATATTGAGATATTTTTTAATGCATACAGAGTTCTAGTTTTGCAAGATGAAAAGAAATCTGAAGATGGATAGTGATGATAATATACATCTTTATGAATATATTTAATAATACTGTCAATATTTTTAAAATTTTTAAGATGGTAAATTTTATGTCATGTATGTTTTACTACAATAAAACAGTTGTGAAAACCATGTAATTACATGTATCATTTGAAGTTATGATATACAGAACACATGGGAGGAGAAAGCCTGGGTACTCTTTCCCTTGTTTTATTTAGAATGAGTAAATATTTTCACTTGCTTCTTACCAAACTGGTTTTCATAGCTTGTTCCCTTTTTTTCCTCAGATAGAACTTTTCCCTTGCATTGTGATGTGTTTTATCAAATGATTGAGAATCCCTACACCACAGTTGAAAAAAATTGGAAACATCGTCAAATTATATCTCTTGTGTTACAAATACTATTATCTGTTCACCAAATCTCATTACAGAGTTCTCCCTTATGAACAAAGATGACTCATTTTAAGCCTATTTACACTAAAGTGAAATTGTGTGTCTATCTAGGGTTCATAATAAGTGAGTTAATGTGATATATTTTCCCATCTTGGCTGAGTCAGAGAAAAGTCTCTGCATGGTTTTCTAGTATCTTTCTTCCTCTTCTTGATGATGTAAAAGAACTCTTCATCATATTGAAACCCTGTGTTTGGAGCAGACACAAACACCAATTTGTAGTAGATATATATATTGAAATGGTATCAATGATTATTATATTTAACTACTAAAATTAAAAAGTAAGTGGTTGCTTTACCCTAACTTAATTTATCTGGACCAGTAACATACATGCACAAAAATATGTTTGATATGCAAAATTAGTATTTGATTAAGATTGATATGGCAATAGCAAGAAACAAGTTTAGTGCAGTATTATTTTCATAATCATAACAGATTTTTATTTTTGTTTCCCAGTTTTGTTTTCATTTTTTTTCTTTTATCTTCATTCAACCCAACTTGATATTTGGATTCTTTGCTCTTGCAGAAAGATGTGGCAAGATATAGAGATATATGCTCTTATTATGGGTTTATTTTGTATAGGCCATTATCTTTCAAGGAGGATACTACTGGCCATAAATAAATGAGCAGGAAAGATAGGGTTTGAGAAATGTAGAACTTTCCTTTTTTATACTGAGTGAAGGGAGACATAGTCACAATAAGGCAGTGATGTTTTCTAGAAAGGAGCTTCTGCTCCTTATTCCCAGGCAAAGCCACAAAGAAGCTGCAAGAAAAGCAAAATGGAAAAGTTATAGAGCAAGAATAGATAAATGGGTCCTGTAGATATTATCCTACCACAGCAGATTATAGGAAAAGCAGCATGATTCACAAGTCTCATGAATGGCCTTGAAATAGAAGTAAGATCCAACAAACATGAAAAGGTTTAGCGAATACAATAGAATGATGTCTCATGATGAACTGTTTAGATTACCATCACTAAGTCCCATGCAAAATGCTGGTCAGCTTTGGAATCACATGTGTGAATTAATTGCTGAAACTAGATAAGAAAAATTAATAAGTTACGAGAGAGTAGTGGAAATTAGTAACTAATACTCAAAATACTCCTAGAGTTCAAACAGACATAATAATTGTGCAATGAGAAAAATCTTCAAACTGACACACTGATTTTTAATGGTTACTATCTTGGAGTTCTATGGTTTCAAAATAGACATTATTACAATTTAAAAAGAATGTGCTGATTGTATACTAGAATTTTGAACTGAGATCTAATTCCTTTAAAAAATAACAAAGAAAGTGAAAACAAGAATAACAATATAGGCCTCTAAAACACTCACATTTTATTTGTAATTTACTTACAGCTAAAGGTTTAAAGGTGTCCAAAGTCCAAACTTGAAAATGTCCAGGTAAAAGTGTCCAGTTTTGTGAGCTACACAAGTCAAAAAATATGACCTATACTTACAAATCTATTACTCTGTATCTCAATTGATGGAAATCTCAACATTAAAAAAATAATAATAATCACAGTCTATGCCAGAGATCAGTTAAATAGCAAAAACCAAAGAGAAAATATGTGTGCCATATGCAACTTTGGGTGCCTTTGCAGCTACTCTTCTCTCTCATTACAGTGTAAAAACAACCTACGTAATTTTCTGAGATGAATAAATGAATGTGTCTAGTTTCGAATAAAATTGTATCTACAGAAATAGGTAGTGGGCTGAATTCAGCCCATAGGTCATAGTTTCCCTACCCCAAATCTACACTGCTGTTAAATTCTGTTAAGTTAAAATTAAGTTCAAACCGTGGATGTGAGTATATTTTTAAACTTTGAGATGATATTTGTCTTATTTAAACAATTTGAAATATAATACACTTTACTTTCATGTGTTTATTCATAAGAGTGATTTGGCTTTGTCTATTAACTCAAAGAATTCCAAATAATCTTCAATGTTTAGATGAAATGATTTTATAATTGAGAATCTGGAATGAATGTTGAGTGCATGTGTTTTGAAAGGAAGTAGGGATTGACAGACTACTGCTATAAATAGTCAGAGAAAAAGTAACAAAAAAAGAAAATATGTCACATTTGGGTGTCTTTTGGAATATATTGAAACTTATGGCATGTTTTTGTCATTTTAATCATACAATGTATACTTTTCCATTAATTGCAAGGCAGATATTTTCTCTCTCTGAAATGCTGAATAGAGCCCAAATTTCCATACATTTCACACCTAAGAATCTAGCATATGGAATATATTTCTTTTGAGGAGTTAGCAGCATTCTTATTAGCTGTTGATGACCTGTCAATATCTAATATTATACATACTAAAGAGCTAGAGTAGTCACTGAGGAATTCTAGAAGGAGAAATATGTTATATCCCAAAAACATAATCAAATGAATTATTCCAAGATTTATAATTGCTCTTAAGTTATATTGCCTTTTTGAATCACTTCTAAATTAGTAGCAGTATTTTTTGAAAATCAATTTATGATCCAAAGTATTTTCCATTGCACAATGTTACTATTTCTAACATGTTTTATTATTTAAATCATTATTAAATATTATTTAATAAGGAATTACTTTTTGCCAGAAAATGCGTTCTTGAAAGTTGTAAGCTATTGGGGAATACTCTGAGATGTGTGATTATTTGAATAATGTTGAGTGTTTGATAGGGTAACACCTAGGGGGGTAAACCTTCCTGTCTTAAAGAATTTTATTTTGAGCATCTATAGAAAACTGCTTGAAGCAAGTCAAGTGAAATTTAGTTTTCTAATTCAGACTTGCAAATAAAATGCAAATTTGAGAACAAAAGAAATGAAATACTGCACACTTTAAAATAAACTTTGAATTGTACCATTTCTGACTAGGCCTCCTCCTAATATTCACTTATTCTCTTTAGTGTAAAGGATTAATAATACTGTCTCTCTCTCTCTCTCTCTCTCTGTGTATATATATATATACACACACACACACCCACATATATAAAGTCTATGTATATAAAACTATTTATGTAAAGATATATATATAGAGAGAGAGAGAGAGAAAATTATTAATCCTTTATAAAACAGTGACTATTAGGAGGAGGCTTAGTCATATATATATATATATATATATATATATATATATATATATACACACAGTCACACAGAGTAGAATTAATATATCATTAAAATATATTAACAATATATTTTTATTTTAATGTTTCTGTTTATGTATCATATCATATTAATAATATAAGATTCATTTTCTATATAAAGGAGAAAAGGTAGAAACAGTAGGCAAGGCAATAATAGTCTCTTTGAGGGAGATGGTAATTCTTGAAGAAGAGATATTCATCCCACTCACTGCCCCATATAGCTACCAAAATTTTTGCTGACTGAACTGCTCTTCTAACCCATAAAGTCAGAATTGTAGAGTAATAGGCAAGGGAGAGATTGTAGAGTTCTCTAGCAAGTGAGTCTTGCTGCGCTTCTACAATGTCGGCTTGCATGTATAGGCAGGGTTTCCTGAATCGTAAGAAGTCACTTAAGATTAAACTGTCTTTTTAGTATCCTACTGAGGAGGTTATTCTTCTAGGAAAGATAACTCATGAACAAGAGATGACAAGGTTGGGAGCAGGACTAACAGAGAGAAAAGTATGTCAAATCTGAACTTGGGCATGGAGTGGGGTGCCAACTTCTCTGCATGGGAACCATACAGGGAATAAAACTACACAGGGCTATTCAAGAATATATATCCCCACAATATAAGAAAACTCATTTGGACTACTTTCATACATATATTTATATTATATATATATTATATATATACTATATATTACTTATGTATTATTATATATGACATATAATTATATTATATATCATATATGTATATATGATATATATCATATATGTATATATGATATATATCATATATATGATATATAATATATATGATATATCATATATATGATATATCATATATATGATATATATCATATATATCATATATCATATATAATATATATGGTATATATCATATATATATACAATATATATATATATAAAATTGTGAACCATTAGGTAAGAGACCGCACCAAACAAAAGAAAGAGGACATCCATCTCACAATGGACAATCACATAAGACATGTCATTTCTCTCTCCCTCTTTCCTGCTGCATACTTCAAAGAAGCTGTCTTAGAGAAGAGGGAGAAAGATGAGAGTTTTGTGATGGCACCTCCTCCCCACACCCACACTCTACTTTACTTCAGCCACAGCTATAGCATGCCCTGAAAGGATAGAAAGAGAACTTGAGTTCATAAGAAATTGGAAGCTTAAGTTAAACGGATTAAACTATAAATATCATGATGAATACAATTATTGTTATTATTATTTATTTACCTTCTAATTTCATACTGTTTTGTGTACCAGTGATGCATATATAAAATCTATCAGAATAATTACAAGTTGTGTTAGACTTATATCTTTTATATCCAGAAGCTTTCATATTATAGCATTTCTTTTAATTTTTTTAAATTGGCAAATTTCATAATAGTTTAATCTATTTTTACAACATAGAATGATTTATATTATTTGATATGTTGATTTAAGATACTCAGGCAAGTAGGAAATAGGCTTTATGTTCCATTATGTAGATAAAAGATTGGCTTTATTCAGCTGCACAGTCTTTTGGTTTAGAATTAGAAATGGTTGACATAAGGAAGACTTTTATGAATAATTGTTCATTGATATTGGTTCAGTTATAGTTAGAAGCTTGCAATAAAGAAAAAATAAATCTCATTATTATATTTTATAAAGGAAAAATTTGAATAGTAGAGATGAGAAAACTAGAGAAATTTTCTGGTATTTAGAAATATATTCTGCATGAAGATTTGATTAAGTGGAAGTAAGGTGAATTAAATGAGTTTTTAAATGGGAATAACTTTGAAGACATTTAATAAAAACCTGTAAGTCTGATTCTAAGAGTCTGTATTTTCTACCAAGTCTTATAGATTATCCTGAAATACTAATATATTGTGATATTGTATATTTTTGTATAGTTTGTTGTGGAACTATTGCTTTCTCCCTAGTGAATTAAATGGATATATAAGGGAATTAAGCAGTATTTCTCAGATTTCACAATAACAATGATTTTTTTTTTAATATTATTGCTTGTGTGTTGGTTAGACAACTTTACTAAATGTGGCTAATGCTGTCTTCAGTAGTAATAATTCAACATTATCTACAAATTCAATATAAATTTTGGTTGTGTGTTCTTGAGATTAAATTCTCAATATATGATCATTGTATTATTTAAGAAAGTTGAATAATAAATGCAAAAAGAACTATTAAAGAGGATTATTCAATATGCAGAAATCTAGGTGTAAATATCACTTTACTACATCCTAGTGATATACAGAATACAATTAACTCAAAACATTTGTTACTCTCACTCCAAACACATGGACAGTCCAGAGGAAACATAATAGAATATTTTAAATGCAGCTCTACAGCAATAAAGGGAACTTCCACAACCTAGAAATAAAGAAGGAAAAAATCCCATAATAGAGCCCAAAAGCAAAGCCACAAATCTTTTGGGAATATTGATATAGGGTGATTTCCTTGGGCAGAGTTTCAGCTGATAAATAAATTAGTATTCTGAGTCCAAAATCTCATTTCTACTTTGGAGTTAAAAAAACAACAAAAACAAAAACAAAAACAAAACAAAACACTTCAAGGAAGGGCAGGCTGTTTCATGTAACAGTCTAAAAGTAATTTCAGTCCTTGACCACAGAACAGATCAAATAAATGGCCCACTCATGGTGGGGAGTGTGTGGGGTAAAAAGTGCTGCTGGCAAGAAACTGGAACTCAAGCTATTAAATGCTGGCATGGGTCTATATGCACATTAACTGTGTTATTTAAGTAACCTATGATGGGAAGGCTACACAAGTAGATAACTCAGAGGAGAAAGATAATCACATAGAAAGAAAGTCAGCTGAAGAATATTTCACAGCATAAATTACAAACTTTATGAGACAGTATCCTAAGATGAAACAAACATGAGATTCAACACACAAAGAACAGATACCATATTAACATGAGAGATACTTTAAAATATGTGTACTAATGTGTTCAAGAAGACAAATTATAAAATACAATTGATACAGCAAAAGTGGTGCATTGTGGAAAAGCACATAGATTTGAAAAGGAACAAAAAGCAAAATAAATTTTTTTAAAAAATTAAATATTAAACTTTGGTGTGATACACTGTATACAGAGCTGAAAAGGAAAAACCTGCCAAAAGTGGCACAAAAGCAAACTTGTAACCATTAGCAAGTTATTTAATATATTTTTAGATTTGATTATGATTTTTAGGAGTAAAATGTAAATTACATAGGTCCTGCCACTTATTAGATGTACAATAATAATAATATTATTGTGTGTTATTATTATCAAAATGTGTTGTAAAAGATAAAAGGATGGTAATGGAGAATAGAATGAGAAGATCCTGCACTGATTTATAATTAATTCCATTAAGGTACAATAAAAATGAGTGCCAGACTACATTTGAATTGATTATGGATAATTATTTTTCAGAATGGATGATATGGATTCTAAGATTGAAGAAGCACTAAAATAGAGACATTAAGTGATACTGCAGAATATCTAGATAAAGGGGGAAAAGGATGCTAAAAGGTACAAAGATGCTAAATTCAAAAGAAATGCAATTAGAGTTCACATCAGCATTAGAATGCCAAAGGACAGTGACATATTTTAATTGTTAAACGAAAATATGCCTAAATTATATTAAATTTCCCAATTGTGTTCTAAATTATGTCTATTTTTTAGGATATATAGAAGTGTGTATTTGATGTTTAATCAGGTAGGTCCAATTCTCTGAGAAAAAAATTCAGACTTGGATTCGTTATTTTGTAATCTGTGTTTCATAATTCCATTATCTGAGGTGCCTACTGATCTGTCTCTGTTGTTTTTTGTTGCTGTGAATTCCTACTTAATTTTTATTATTTCTTCATATGACTGCTTATCTTTTATCTTGAGATGGACATTGTATTTGAAAAATTATAAATAGAAAAAAAAAAAACGGTCTCCAGGATTTTATCGTCTTTCACAGATGCTTCTCATTTTCTCCTGCCCAAGTGCTTAGTGGCGCAGCATTTCTGGATCATCTTGTGAGGGTCACTATATGTCCTGTTTGCCTGGGGTAAGCCTGATTTCTTCCAATTTTACTGGCATCCCATCTGGTTTAGCTTTTTTATGAATTTTTGTTTTTAATAGATAATTATGAACAATTGTGGACTTAAAAGAAGCTGGGGTGGACTGGGTTAACCTCTGTTTTTACTGATGCCCTAGAAGGATATGCAGGTTTTAAAAGCAGAAGTTAAACAGATTCTTTTAAGAGAACAGTTAAAATGAGAATGACATGTTCACGTTCCTAAACTGTTCAAGACACAGAGGAAACTTAGGGACTATCTAGTAAAGTGCTAAATGTATCTACACATTGCAACAGCAGATCTAAGTTAGCTGCAAATCAAATAAATGTTTAATCTCATGAGTTGCTGAATTCTGAATTGCAGAAGTAAAATACACAGCATTAATAGGACTCAAGCAAAATGCAGGAATGCTGATAAGGAAGGGTTGGGGCTGTGATAATAGGAAGGGTATTTGATATCTAAACTGGAAATATGTGCAGTAAATAAGAGGGAGTGAAGATGAATTGCACCTCCCTGACAGCTGGACCAGTTGTTTGTCCCTTTCACATTGAGGAGGTTGATGCTTTCCTTGAACATCCCACCTGAAGAAGTTATCTAACAAGGTGAAGACAATTCAGCTCAGGCCTCACCAGTGACTGGTTTTATTTTCTCTTATTTGAAATTATAGTCAGATTCCAGCACATTTAGGACAATTTTACTCTCTTACCTCAGGTTTATATCAACTCTCCATCTCTGTACCATGATTTAGGCTTAAGATTTCTGACTGGACATGTTGCTGGCCCATTAGAGTGACAACTTTATGCCAACAGGTCCCAAAGTGCAGGAAGTAACAGAAATCTAGAAGCTCAAATAACAAACAGTCTAGGTAGCTGGTGTGTGCCAAAGCAAAGAACAAAAACCTCATACAAAATACAATGGCTTGCTTCCTCAGTGAAATTTCGAAGGGCCTAGTGGTCTGTAGAGATATCTCTTGCACAATATTAAAACACACACATACACACAATTGTATTTTACTTAGTGTCACCTTGTATGTGGATTATTAGGATGTATTTAATTGATGTGATGAGAGGTTGCTATTAGGGATCTAAAGATTCTCTAGGTGTGATGCCGATTTGCGTTAAGACCTAGACAGACAATGCAGATTGGTATGCCTTTTAGAGGCTGTAGGATGAGACAGTATAAAATCATAATAAAGCCTCTGCAGCATTTTGGGAAAGAAAAGCATGCATTCTTCAGCAAATAATTGTTCTTAGCTGTGTACTTAGTACATGTGCAAAGATACTGGTTAAAGTTTATTCATAATAAAATTGGAAACATACTAACTATAATATAATAACAATTACCTACACACGTATGACATGTAATCACAATCACAAAAGATGACAGTTGTGGATTTTCATGGAAAGATGTCATATAACAATATCATACATAGTATGATGTCAGTTTTACATAGTACCTGGCACATATTAGGTATTCAATAATATTTACTTATTGATGAGTAAAAACAGCAAAACCTTTGTTGTATTAAAAAAAACAAAAGACATTGTTTTTCGAACATAAGATTCCCTTGCTATGACACCCTAGTTTTCTTTTCCAGAGAACAAGTTTTTGGTCTTTGTATGTGTGTGTGTATGTGTGTGTGTGCGTGTGTGTGTGTGTGATTTTTTTTTAACATGAGAGCATATTTTCTCTCTTGTGTTCCTCACATCATATTTGCTCTTTCCACCCACTGCAATCTGGTTTTCACTTCTATATTCTACTAAAATATTCTAAGATATAAAATGATCTTTTAATGGCTATATGCAGGGATCTCTTAGCAGTCTCACTGTAATTGCTGCCTGTCTATTTCACTCTGGGCATCACCCTCTGCTCCTTTCTGTGGTTGCTCAGATAGCAACAAATGTTTGCTTTCTCGCCTCCATGACACTCACTGCTCCATCATTTCTGTTTGCTCTTCATCCTTTGCCTGTTCTTTTAATATTGGTGACTTTCCCCATTTTTTAAACCTCTGTTTTTCTTCCTCCAGGGTTTTATCACTCCTATAGGTACCATTTTATACACTAGATAATTCTGAAAATATGTATCTACTGAGCTCTCTTTTGAAAGATTTCAGATTTAATTTATTCACTTCATTATTTTCTTCCCTCTTCTCAATCTTCCTCCTACTTCTGGATTCCCAATCTTAGTTAATGACACCTTCCTCCCCTGACATGCAAATCAGAAACAAAAGAGTAATCTCCCCCTCGTCCTCTAATAACACACAAAGCATTTTGATTTCACTTCATTAACGTTTCTCGCATTCATCTCATCCTCCCCATTCTCATTGCTTCTCCCTTACATTTTTGCGCCAACATTCTCTCTCTAGATTATTGCAGTGACCTCTTAACTGTAAGAGTTACCTTCTAATTTACCTCTTTTGAATTCATACCACAACTGCTAGTTCAGTAACATTGCAAATGCTACTCTGACTTTGACTTTTTTTTACTTTAATCTGAGAACATTTCCTGTTGACAATTCTTTAAAAAAGGCTTAACTTTTTCTACAGAACTCACAAGCATCTGTGACTGTCTACCTTTCTAGATTTAATTTCATAATGCTATTTTCCAAACTAGTTGTCTTCATTATAGAGAGTTATTTTTCACACCATCTTGACTCTGTAATTTAACTTTTTATGAATGAATGACCATTTTAACTATTCTCCTCTTTCTTTACTTTTTCATTTTGTGACATTTTTTTCTATGACACAGAGAACTACCTTTACTATATTATGTTATATGTGTTTATTTTTATTGCTGTTTGGGGTTGAGTATTTCCTCATGATATTTAAAAGGCATCTTAACTTCAGGAAATTCACAAGTAAAGCGTTCCTTAATCTCATGCAGAATAAATTTTTAGGCACTAGTTTTATCTATAATATCTAGTTTGTTTGATCTCCAGAAGTGGACATATTCTTTCTGTCTCTTTGCCAGTTTCCTTTCATGAACTCAATCCTGGATTTCATTTTAAATTAGTACTTCCCTTACATCGAAATTTTAGTCTCCTTTAACGAGATGGTTAGCACAGCCTATAAATGATAAAAAAGTATTTTCCTCTTTGATTTGCAGATACATATACCTACGTAGACACACAGCCAATAGAAAAAATTTTTTGGCTTAGAATTTATTGTAAGCCTGGAAGGAGAAACTAATGTCCTATGTTATCTTCAGTGAATATATAAAACAAAGCAAACTATAATATGCGGAAGACATGGGTCATGTTAAAACATGCCATGAGGGATATTGTTTTCTTATTCTTCAATGTTCCATTTTAGAACCCAAACACGGTAATTCTACTCCACTCTCTCTATGCATATAACCTGGAAAGTAATTTTTAATACTAAATTTTACAGAAACATAGTAAGATTTCTTTTTGATGAAGTAAATTTATTTGTATATTCTTTTAATATATTTTTTGACTGACATAACTGCATACATTTATGGGGTACAATGTGAGGTATATATATATATGTATATATATACACACACACACACACAATGTAGAATAATTAAATCACGCTAATTAGCATATCCATCACCTTGCTTATATATTATTTTAATGATGAAACATTCAAAGTTTCCTAAGTTATTTTGGAATATATAATATATTACTATTGAAAATAGACACGCTGTTGAGCAACAGAGCTAAAAATCTATTTCTCCTGTCTATCTGAAGTTTTGTACCCTTCGATTATCTTTTCATTCCCTTCTTTCTTGCCTTCCCGCTCATTCACATATCTCTTGATAGGCACTTAGATTGTTTCCGTATCTTGGCTCATGTGACTAATGCTTCAATGAACATGGAAGTGAAGATATCCCTCTGACATATATTGATTTCAGTTCCTTTGTGTATGCACTCAGAAGAGGGATTACTGGGTTGTATGGCAGTTCTATTTTTAGGTTTTTTAGTAACTTTCATGCCATTTTCTATAAGGACTGTAATAATTTACATTCCCACCACAATGTATAAGAATTCCTCCTTCTTCACATCCTCTCATTTGTTGTCTTTCATCTTTTTGAAAAAAAAAAAAAAAACTTCTAACAGGTGTGAGGTAATATGTCATTGTGATTTTAATTTTCATTTTCCTGAAAATTAGTGCTGCTGAGCATTTTTAAAATGCATCTATTGACCATTTGTATGTCTTCTTTTCAGAAATATCTGTTCAGCTCCTTTGCCTCAGCTTACAAAACGCTAGAGTTATTTGAGTTTCTTATATATTTGGGGTATTAACCCATGATCAGATGTATGTTTTGTAGATAGTTTCTGATATTCAGTGAGTTGTCTCTGCACTTTGTTAACTGTTTCCTTTGCTTTGCAGAAACTTTTTAGTTTGAATTCATCTAATTTGTCTATTTTTTCTTTTGTTGACTGTGCATTCAAGTTTATATCCAAAAAAATCATTGTCCAGACCAATGTCACAGTGATTTTACCCTAGATTTTTACTAAAACTTTTACAATGTCAAAAGTTTTATAAAGTTTAGATTTATGTTTAATTCTTTAATCCATTTTGAGTTGATTTTTTAATATGGTATAAGGTAAGGGTCAAATTTCATTCTTCCTTATGTGGATAGCATTTTCCCATCACTATTTATTACAGAGATTTTTTTTTGTCTCCTTTTTTGTTCTTGATACTTTTGTTAAAAATCAGTTGGGTTTTTTTTTTTTTTTTCTGGGCTTTCTGTTCTATTTTATTGGTCACTGTGTCTGTTTTTATGCCAGTGTTGTGCTGTTTTGTTAAAATAGCTTTCTAATAAATTTTGAAGCCAGGTAGTATGATGCCTTCAGTTTTGTGGTTTTTGTTCAAGATTATCTTGACTATTAGATATTTTTGTCATTCTAAACAAATTTAAGAACTTTTTTCCATTTCTGTAAAAAAGGACTGGAATTTTGTTAGGTATTACATTGAATTTGTTGATTATTTGGGGTATTGTGAACATTTTAATAATATTAGTTCCCACTATGTTTTTAATCTCATTACTTGTTATTGATCTGTTCAGGTTTTGGATTTCTTCCTTGTTCAATTTTGGTAGGTTGTATATATCTAGAAATTTGCCTATTTCTTCTAGATTTTCCAATTTATTGGCATATAGTTGCCTATAGTAAGTAGCCCCTAGTGATCTTTTGGATTCTGCAGTATCTATTGTAATATTTCCTTTTTCATTTTTGATTTTATTTATTTGGATCTTCTCTCTTTTTTCCTTTGTTTATCTGGCTAAGGATTTGTCAATTTTGTTTAACATTAAAAAAACTTCTTGTTTCATTGATTTTTTGTGTGTTGTTTTTTAATTTCAATTTTATTTATTTCTGCTCTCATCTTTATTATTATTTTTTCTTCTACTAATTCTCAATTTGGTTTTTCTCTTGCTTTTTTCATTCTTTAAGATGCATTGTTAGAATGCTCTTTTGAAGTTTTTCCTGTTTTTTTGATGTAGGCACTTATAACTATAAATTGCTCTGAGTACTGCTTTTGATGTATCCCACAGGCTTTGGTATGCTGTGCTTCAATTACCATTTATTTCAAAAAGTTTTTCAATTTTCTTCTTAATTTCTTCATTGACCTACTGGTCATTTGGGTGCATATTGTTTAATTTCAGTGTATTGTTATAGTTTCCAAAATTTCTCTTGTTATTAATTTCTAGTTTTATTACATTGTGGTCAGAGAAGATAACATTAATATTATTTTACTTTTTGAATGTTTTAGGAACTTGTTTTGTCACCTAACATATGGTCTACCTTGCAAATGATATATGTGCTAAGGAAGAGTATGTATTCTGCAGCTGTTGGATTAAATGTTCTATAAATATCCATTAGATCTATTTGGTCTGTAGTGCAGATTAAGTCTGACATTTCTTTGTTGATTTTTCTATCTAAAAGATGTGTCTAATTATGAAAATGTGGTGTTGAGAGCATGGGGTGTTGAAGTATTCAGCTCTTACTGTATTGGGGCTTACCTCTCTCTTTAGATCTAATAATATTTGCTGTATATACATGGGTGCTCTAGTGTTGGGTGCATGGATATTTAAAATTTTTTATCCTCTTGCTGAATTAATCCCTTTTATCATTATATATTGACCTTCTTTATCTCTTCTTATAGTTTTTGTCTTGGAATCTATTTTCTCTGATATAGGTATAGCGACTTCTCTTTTTTGGTTTCTATTGACATGGAATATCTTTTTTCATCCCTTCATTTTTAGTCTATTTGTATCTTTACAGGTGAAGTGTGTTTCTTTTAGGCAACAGAACAATGGGTCCTGTTTTTCACCCATTTAGCCAGTTTATGTCTTTTGACTGGAAAGTTTAGTTCATTTACGTTCCATGTTATTATTGATAAGGACTTACTCCTGACAATTTGTTATTGGATTTCTGGTTGTTTTATGGTCTTCTCTTCTTTCTTTCATTTTTGTCTTCCTCTAGTGAAGACAATTTTCTTTGGTGATGTTATTAGTTTCTTGCTTTTTATTTTTTGTGCATACATTGTATGTTTTTTGGTTTCAGGTTACCAGGAGGTTTGCATATACTGTATTATCATGCATTATTTTAACTTGGTAACAATGTAACACTGTTTGCATAAACAAACTAGCCAAAAGAAAACTAATAAAATCGCTCCTTAACTTCATCATCCAGCTTTTTAAATTTTTGTTTTTATTTATATCTTATTGTAGTGACTGTCTTGAAAATTTTTAGTTATTATTTTATATTGGTTTATCATTTTGTCTTTCTACTGAAGGCAGAGTAATTTACACACTACAGTCACAATGTTATAACACTCTGTATTTTACTGTGTGATTACTATTACTAGTATGTTTTATACCTGCAAGTGCTTATTTATTGCTTACTAATGTCCTTTGCTTTCTGAATGAAAGCATTTCTTGTGCAACAGGTTTGCTGTTGATGAAATCCACCAAATTTTGCTTGTCTAAGAAAGTCTTAATTTCTTTTTCATGTTTGAAGAATATTTTTGCCAAGTATATTATTGCAGGGTAAAAGTTAGTTTCCTTCAGCACTTTAAATATGTCATACCACTCTCTCCTGACCTGTAAGATTTCCACTAAAAAGTCTGCTGCCAGATTTATTGGAGTTCCATCGTATGTTATTTATTTATTTTCTCTTGCTGCTTTTAGCATTGTATCTTTATCTTTGAGCTTTGGGAGTTTGATTATTAAATACCTTGAGGTAGTCTTCTTTAGGTTAAATCTGATTGTGTTCTAAAACCTTCTATACTTTGGATATTGATATCTTTCTCTAGGTTTGGGGAATTCTCTATTATTATCCCTTTGAATAAACTTTCTACCCCTGTCTTGTTCTCTATTTTCTCTTTAAGGCCAATAACTCTAAGATTTTCCGTTTTGCAGCTCATTTCTAGATCTTGTTGGCATGCTTCATTATTTTGTATTCTTTTTTTCTTTTGTCTTCTCTTACCATGAATTGTCAAATATCTTGTCCTTAAGCTCATTAATTATTTCTTCTGCTTGATCCATTCTGCTATTAAAGGACTCTGATGCATTCTTCAGTATGCCAGTTGCATTTTCAGCTCCAGAATTTCTACTTAATTCCTTTTAATTATTTCAATCTGTTTATTACATTTATCTGTTAGAATTCTGAATTTCTTTACTGTTTTATCTTGACCTTTTTTGAGTTTCCTCAACACATCTATTTTAAATTTTCTGTCTGCAAGTTCATATATCTCCATGTCTCCAGGATTGGTCCTTGGTGCTTTGTTTAGTTCATTTGGTGAGGTCATGTTTTCCTGGATGTTGTTGATATTAGTAGATTCCCTTTGTTCTCTTGGCATTGAAGTGTTAGGTATCTATTGTAGTCTTCCCTGTCTGGGCTTATTTGTAGTTGTCCTTTGGAAGGCTTTCCAGATATTTGATAGGACTTGAGTGTTGTGGTCTAAGCTATTTCTGCTTTGGGGCACCCCAAGCCCAATTATGCTATGGGTTTTGCAGATTTATACAGGTTCTGCCATGATGGCCTTGGCCAAGATCCAGGAGATTTTTTTGGATTACCATGCAGAGACTCTTGTTTTCTTCCATTATTTTCTCCCAAACTTTCAGAGTCTCTCTCTCTGTTCTGAGTCACCTAAAGCTGGGGATGGAGTGACATAAGCACCCCTGTGGTTACTATCACTATGAATTTGCTGGGTCAAACCTGAAGCCTGCACAGCACTGGATCTCATCCAAGGCCTTCTGTAACCACTCCATGGCAACTGCCTATGTTCACTCAAGGCCCTGAGGCTCTACAAGAAACAGGTGGCAAAGCCAGTCAGGCCTGTATCCTTCCCTTCAGCGTGACAAGGTCCCTCAGGTCTGGGTGGTTTCAGAAGTGCCATCTGGGAGTCTGGGACTAGACTAAAAAAACCTAAGAAGTCTACCTTGTGTTCTATTATATTGTGGCTGAGCTGGCACTCTGACCACAAAACACAGTCCTTATCACTCTTCCCTCCCCTTCCCAAAGGCAGAGGAACCTCACCCAGTAGCCACTGTCACCCCTGGCCACAAGGAACGCTGTCACACTACCACAGATGTTTCCTTAAGGTCCAAGGTATTCTAAATCAGCTTGTGGTGAATGCAGCTTGTCCTGGGACTTAACCTTCAAGTCAGTGGGCTCCCCTCTGGCCCAGGGCAGGTCCAGAAATGTTATCCAATAGTTAAGTCCTGGAATCAGGGACCCCAAGAGCCCACTTGGTGCTCTACCCTCCTGTGGTGGCATTGGTACCTAAGGTGCAAGCCAAAGTCCCCTTTATTTTTCCGAATCAGGAGTTTTGCCCTGTGACCTCCACAGCTGGTAATGTCTTGAGCCTCACCTGAAGCCAGCAAGTCTCAGTGGCTCTCTAAGGCCTTTGATGTAGTACCTGGTTATCGTTGCTGGTTATTCAGGGTCCAAGGGCTCCTCAATTTGCAGGCGATTAATACTGACAGGACTAGGTTCTTTTATTCAAGCAGTGGGTTCCCTTTCTGGCCCTGGGTGTGTCTAGAAATTTCACCTGGGATCTAGGCCCTGGAACGGAGGCCTTATGACTGACCAGTTCCCTATCCTTCCATGGTTGAGCTGGTATCCAAGATGCAAGACAAAGTCCTCCTCAATCTTCCCTCTTCTCTCCTCAAGCAGAAGAAAGAGGTCTCTTTTGGAGCTGTGAGCTGTGCAGCCTGGGGTTAGGGGAGGGGTGATGCCAACACTCTCTTGCCTGCCCCAACTAGTGTCTCAGCAAGTCACATGTCCCAACAATCTGCTGTCTCTGGGCCTAGTTTAGCCCAAGGACTCACCTAAGAGTTGCAGTCTTTATGGCCTAGACTGCCTTTCAAGTTTACTTAGAGAGTGAGAGAACTTTGGCCCTTGGTGGTGACAATGTTTACAGATACTCAAGTTTGTACCATTGCAATTGGTAATTTCCCCCAGGCTAAGGCTGGTTTAACTGGTTCCTTTGTGAGAGGGGTTCAGCTGATTTGGTCTGGTTTTCTTTTCTGCTCTAACAGAACTGTGCTGAATTCAATGCCTCACAATTGCTGGGTTCTTCCTCCCCCAGTGCCCAGAGATGCTCTCTACACCAGACCACCACTGCTGGGGGACTGGGAAGGGGTGGCATCGGTCAGTTAGGACTGTTTATTTCTATCCCTTCAGTGCCTCTTTCAGTGATAAGAATTTAAAACCAGGTATTATGAGTGCTCACCTGATTCCTGGTTCTTATGAACTTGTCTTTTCTGTGTAGATAGTTGTTAACTTGATATTCTTGCGGTGGAAAAGATTGAGGAGCTTTCTATTCTGAGATAATTCTTCACCTCTCACTTGTTTATCTTTTTAAAAGGCCTCTTAGTTTCATTTGTTGTTTTCTATTGTTTTTTAGTCTCTCTTTTATTTCTGCTCTGATCTTTGTTATTTTCTTCTATTAGCTTTGGGCTCAGTCTTCCCTTCTTTTTCTAGTTTCTCAAGGTGTAACATTAGATTAGCTATTTGTGATTTATACTATTATATACATATATAAAATATTTTAATATATATAGGGTTTTTTGGCTATAAATTTCCCTCATAGGATTGCTTTTGCTCTATCCCATAAGTTTTAGTATGTAATGTTTCTATTTTAATTTTTCTCAAGGCACTTTCTTATTTTTCTCTTTGATTTTGTGTCCAGAGTTGGTTCCTTCCAGTGGGTTTGTGGTCTCACTGACTTCAAGAATGAAGCTGCAGACCTTCGTGGTGAGTGTTAGGTGGCATGGACCAAAAGGGTGTGCAGCAGCAAGAGTTATTGCGAAGAGCAAAAGAACAAAGCTTCCACAGCATGGAAGGGGACCTGAGTGGGTTGCTGCTGCTGGCTAGGGTGGCCATCTTTTATTCCCTTATTTGTACCTGCCCATGTCCTGCTGATTGCTCCATTTTACAGAGTGCTGATTGGTCCATTTTACAAACCTCTGGCTAGCTACAGAGCACTGATTGGTGTGTTTTTTACAGAGCATTGATTGGTGCATTTTTCAAACTTCTTGTAAGATAGAAAAGTTCTCCAAGTCCCCACTTGACCCAGGAAGTCTAGCTGCCTTCACCTCTCAATTTTTTCTGTGCCCAATTGCTTGTTTAGTAGCCTGTTCTTCAATTTTCACACATTTATGTATTTTCCAAGATTTCTTCTGTTATTGTTGGTAGTTTTATGCCACTGTAATCCAACAAGACTTTATGTATTTACGTGCTCCAAAGTTGGGTGCATACAAGATTATAGCTGTTATGTCTTCTTGTTGGGTTAACCCTTTTACCATTATGTAGTGACCCTCTTTGTCTCTTTTTATAATGTTTGACCTAAATTTTTTTTGTTTCATATAAGTATAGCTATCTTTGCTCACTTTTGGTTTTCATTTGTGTGATCTTTTCCATCCTTTCACTTTCAGTTTGTGTATATCCTTACTAGTAAAGTGAGTCTCTTATAGGCGGCATTTGGTTAGATCTTTAAAAAAAGTCTATCCAACCATTGTTTTTTAATAGGGGAATTTGTCCATTTACATACAAGATAATTACTGATAGGTAAAGACCTGCTATTGTCGTTTTGCAATTTGTTTTCTGATTGTTTTGTAGATCTCTTGATTCTTTCTTTCTCTCTTGATTTCTTACTTTGCTGTGTGATGGTATGGTTTGACATCTTTCTTTTTATATTTTGTTTTTGCTTTGAGATTACAATAAGGCTTATATAAAATATATTATCCTTACAATATGTTATATAAGACTGATAACAACTTGCCTTTAATTGCATACAAAATTTTACACTTTCACTCTCTCTTCCCCATCTTTTATAATTTTGGTAGCATAATTTATATTTGGCTTTGTAATCTGTGTCTTTTAGCAATTTATTGTAGCTACAGTTGTTTTAAATATTTTTCTATTGCTTTATATACCATATTTATAGTATAAGAGAATGTTGAGTATGACTATTTTACTAATATCATTGAGGTTTTATTTTCATTTTTTTGTTTTAATTAGAAGCCTTTTATTTCATAACAAAGAGCTCCCTTTAGTGATTCCTGTAACTCAGGCCTTGTGATGATGAATTCCATTAGTTTTTGTTTGTGAAAGTTTTTATTTATCCCTCCTTTCTGAAGGACAGCTTTGCTGGGAAAAATAGTCTTGGTGGACAATTTTGTTTTCTTTTTTCACCTTCAGCACTTTGAATATATCATTTTACTCTGTTGGTCTGCAAGGTGTGTGCTGAGAAAGACGGTGAAAGCCATATTTGGTTTCCTTAGAATGTAATATGTTTCTTTGTCTTTGATTTTTAATAATTTTATTATGGTGTGTTTATTAAACTCCTCTTTCACTTGAATTTTACTAGCAATTCTTGAGCTTCTTTAACCTGGATTTTATCATCTCTCCACAGGTTTGAGAATATTCTAGCCATTATTTCTTTAAATATACCTTTTAGGCTATTTTGTCTTTATTATATTTAATAAACATCTATTATGCAAAAGTTAGTTCTGCTGATGTTACAAAATTTCCGTATGACTTCTTTATTATTTCTTTTTCTCCTTGATTGGATAATTTCAGACATTTTTGAGCACACTGGTCTTCTGCCCAATTAAGTCTGCTATTGAAGCTTTCTATTGAATTTTTCAGTTGTTATTGTATATTTTATTTCTAGAGTTTCTATGTATTTATTGTTTCTATTATTTTCTCTTTTTTTGAGACGGAATTTCAATCTGTTTCCCAGGCTGGAGTTCAGTGGCACAATCATAGCTCACTGCAAGCTCCAACTGCCAGATTCAAGTGATCTTCCCACCTCAGTCTCTGAGTAGCTGGAATCACAGATGTGAGTCATTGTGCCTGGCTAATTTTTTAAAATTATTTTTTAGTAGAGACAAGGTCTTATTATGTTGACCAACTTGGTCTTGAACTCCTAGGCTCAAGAAATCTTCCTGCCTCTGATTCCTAGCCTCCATGGGGTTACAGACATAAGCCACAGTGCTCAGCTTGTTTCTGTTTCTTCTTCAAGCCTCTCATTTTGTTCATATATTGTTTTCCAAATTTTATTTAATTTTCTATCCATATGGTATTATAGTCTCATAAATATCTTTAAGATAATTATTCTGAATACTTTGTCAATCATATTACAGATTTCAATTTCTTCTGTGTTAATTACTGCAGCTTTATTAGTTTCTTTTGGTGGTGTCATTGTTCTGATATTTCATAATTCTTAAGTCCTTATTTTGATGCCTAAGCATTTGAGATGATGACAACTTACTTTGGTCTTTTCTGGTATTCTTTGGTGGTAGTATACCTTTATTAATTAGTCTAGCCTGGGATTCTATATGGGCTGACAGGTAGCAATACCAGAGAGGCAGATATTGGCATGAGGTTCTTAAGGTTTTCTGGTCCATTTCCTGTGCTATGAGGTAAAATAATATTTCTGGCTGTTCTCCCTGGTCTGGAAAGACCACTGACGACTCTACTTTTTAGGTGGGGCTGCTGGAGGGGCTCTCCAATCATTTCCGACTGGGCAGAGTTGAAGGTTGTTTTCCCTGGCTGGGAGATACTGTTATTTGGAATCTGTAGTTGGGCAGGGCCATGTGATGAGCTCCAAGACTAAGCAATGTCTCTGGGTTGCTGCTCAGCCCTGTTAGGTAGGTAGAATGGGAAGCTATGCTGCACAGATAATATGTGGACTTGCATTTGCCTCCAAGTCTAGGGTAGGCTGAAGCCGAGCAATGAAGTTTGGTGGGGTCACCATACTACTACTAGAATTGAGAAGGGTCAGAAGCTCCCTCTGTTAGTAATCGTTGGCCTGCATTTGCTTTCTCCTATGAGGAAGACTTAATGTTAGTGAGAGGTGAAGCCAGCTTGGCTTCTGGGTAGGGTGGAGACTTGGAGAACTTTTCTGTCTAGCTAGAGGATTATAAATGCACCAATCAGCACTCTGTAAAATCGCACCAATCAGCCCTCTGTGTCTAGCTAAAGGTTTGTAAATGCACCAATCAGCACTCTGTAAAACGGACCAATCAGCACTCTGTAAAATGGACCAATCAGCAGGACATGGGTGGGGACAAATAAGGGAATGAAAGCTGGCCACCCCAGCCAGCAGTGGCAACCCGCTTGGGTCACCTTCCATGCTGTGGAAGCTTTGTTCTTTCACTCTTCATAATAAATCTTGCTGCTGCTCACTCTTTGGGTCTGCACTACCTTTATGAGCTATAACCTCATGGTGAGGGTCTGCGGCTTCATTCCTGAAGTCAGCAAGACCACGAACCCACTGGGAGGAACAAACAACTCTGGACATGCCACCTTTAAGAGCTGTAACACTCACTGTGAAGGTCTGTGGCTTCACTCATGAAGTCATCAAGACCACAAACCCACTGAAAGGAAGAAACTCTGGATACATCAGAACATCTGAAGGAACAAACTCCGGACACACCATCTTTAAGAACTGTAACACTCACTGTGAGGGTCCATGGCTTCATTCTTGAAGTCAGCGAGACCAAGAACCCACTGGAAGGAACCAATTCTGGACACATTAGTAGCAAAACATAGATGGATTACCTCTCCACTGATAAGATTTGGCAGGGCCAGATGTTCTTTGTACAAGTATTTTCTGACCTACAGTTGCCTCTCAAACTTAACTTGTTAAGTTAAAGTCTTAACAAGACAGCTGGGCAGTGTGGGGAAGCCAGCTAGGAATTCCAGCTTGGAAAACCAATGGATTCTATTTCCTGTAGTGTAATGCCTTGGCTAGCTCTGTGGTGTGGTCCATTGGCCAGAATGCAGAGCAACCACCCAGTACCATGCATTGATTGTTGTGAATTCCACACCCATTCTTTGTTTCTGACCCGAGATGATCTAGCCCTGATGGTACTCCCGGTGTTTCTAGTGAGAGGAGACAGGAGTGAGATGCCTGTGATGGATCCAGGAATGGTACAGAAGCTAAATGTTCACCTCCAACTCCCTTTTTCTACTGCAGAAACCATGAGTACAGGAGAAATATCTATGTGTGTCACTGTGTCAGCTGGGGAGCACATTGGAATGGTCAGAGAGAACTGTTCTTCTTACTGTTTGATTACAACTTTTTTTGGTTTTGTGGTCGAAAGGGGTGTCTTAGCCTCACTCCCGACTTTTGGAATTTTCAGGATGGTATTTTTTTGCCTGTGGATTGTTGCTAGTTGGATTACTTTTGGGGGTGGCTAGAGTGAAGCTGGAGAGCTCTTATTCCACCATCACACTGATGATATCTCCCATAACAAGATTTATTGAAGATAATTAAACACATGATAAAATGCAATTATGTATCTTATTTAGTTATGTGAGTATATGAGGGTAAAAGGCTCTGAGCACTGACAGCTCAAAGTTGGAATGTTGAACTTGATACAACAAAAATTTCACAGAACATCAAAAATATTTGACACATTGAAAAATAAGATCAGGCTGACCTCATTTCTAAACATAAGTCAAATAAAAGGATATTGTGCCACCACGATAATAAACGAATATTCTCCTGTTTCTTGGCTCACTGAGGGTTTTCTCCTTACTAACAAATGACAGATAACACATGTTAATTTCTTTCACTTTCGAGTTAAAAATAATTAGGCTAACCATCACATTACATCTGCCTCCTGAGAGAAGCCAGTCCAGAATACACCCTCACTCTCTTAAGCTCATCTTCAAATCAACCAGAACAACCTGAAACACTGTAGCAAGTTTTCACAAATTTTCTCCTATCGAAGTGTTCCAAGATTGCCCATGGAGTGTGGTTTTCTTGATAAATAATTTATACTTTATTTTGTTAGAATATGGATTAAGTTCTTGGTGGTTTTTTTTACTGTACTTTATCACTTACATATATTAAAAAGTGTGATCTGACATAACCGTCCAGTTTTGTCTTAAAAAATAATCTTGTGATAAATTTTAACTGCTTATATCGGTAGCAAACCTGACAGCCAATTAGAATCACATGGGAATTATAATTTTAATTTGTACTTGATTATTGTCACTTTATGACATTTTTAGGTGATGTTAACATAAGAAAAAGGGTTGAGAAACTCTTGTCTAAGAGAACGGTTCTAGTTTCATTTTCAGAATTGGCATTCCAGTTCTCTATATTCCATGTAACTTATGCTGAAATTCAAGGTTCTCACTGTTACATCCCTTCACTGAAGACAGAAAGGTTTCTGCCTGTGCTGTTGCTGAAAACCTTTTAAGGGCATCTTTACATAGTGACTCTCTATCAGATGGTTTCTGTGGAAGGCTTAGCTTCCCCTCAGTGTTTTTGCTTTTGTTTTTGAAACTCTGAAGGCTAACTTTAACGAATCGAAATACTGACTCTTCATCTTAACCAATCTGTCTTCAATGCTGGCTGCATTATGTCTGATCCCATGAGCATCCTCTGTGTTCTCTAGGCATAGGAGGATAAATTCTACCCCAATTTGTGTGACGAATAATTTCCTGAAAATATTTCTCCTTTAGCTTGGGCCCATTTAGCTTTCCTATGTGTTCACCATTTAAACATCTCCCAGTCCCAGCAACTCAAAGCGTTGCTGTTTAATGAACAGGTTCTTGATGAATTTTATTCTGTGGATATTCTTCAGTTTACCACTACTGGATGTATTACAGCAGCTTGAAGACTTTTGGCTGTATAAATCAGTATAATTGTCCGGGTGTGATGACTCACGCCTCTAATCCCAGCACTTTGGAAGGCCGAGGCGGGCAGATAACGAGGTCAGGAGATCAAGACCATCCTGACCAACATGATGAAACCCCGTCTCTACTAAAATACAAAAAATTAGCTGGGCATGGTGGTGTGCGCCTGTAGTCCCAGATAGGTGGGAAACTAAGGAAGGGGAATCACTCGAACCCGGAAGGTGGAGTTTTCAGTGAGCCGCGATCGCGCCTCTGCACTCTAGCCCAGCCGCAGAGCAAGACTCCAAAAAAAAAAAAAAAAATCTTAGAGGGAAAAAAAACAAACAAACGGAACTTAAAACTTTTGACCACTTAAGATGTAACTATTTCTTTAAAAATATACTCTTTTGTCTTTTGTTCAACAGAATATATTTCAGAGTTCCAAAAAATAAATTTTAACATTAAATACATACTCTATTGTATTTTGTTTTTCTCTTTTTTGACTACATCCCAATCTGTAAATTTTTTACTACAAACTAATATTTACAAGAGTGGAGAAATTTCATATAACATTTCACACTAAAACAACCTGCAATTTCAAAAATTGATCATATGTATAGAAAACTGACTTGTGAGCTGCACTTTTGATTATTCAGTGAATTGCACCAGCATGTTAATGTGCTCACAGGTAAGAAGTATAAGTCATATTTATATAGTAAATAAGCTTATTTTAAAACTATGTTTTATAAGGTAACATTAAATCAATTATGCTGTAAAATTTAAAATTGAGTGTATTTTACTTTTATAAATTAATACATTTCTTCCCTCTGCTATCATGTGATAGCAGAGTCCTCAGATGCTTCAAATAGAAGTCAGTAAAGTGCAATAATAATATGATCTTCTTAAACAACTGACATAATCAAAGTAAATCTTTTGGAAGTTCATTTGTTCAAAGTGAAACATCCAACATTGTTGTAAATTTTATTGTAAATCAGGTTTAAAACGTCAACATTAAGAAAAAATATCACTCACTTTTGCAGAGAAAATGCAAATAAAAATTCTGTAGTAACACTAAAATTATCCCTATAAAAGCAAACAATTAAAATGTAAAAATTTAATTTTAAATGGAATATAAAGTTTAATTTTGAAATTTAACATTTGCTCTTCTGAAGTATTTCAACCGGTAACAATATTTCTTTTTTATATGTATTCTTTCCTTGTGGGCTAAATAAATATTCAACCATGATGGACTAAAGTTGAAAACGCCTATAAATTTGCAAATCAAATTTGCAAAACACTCAATAACTATAAAGAAATACTGTAAATTTTGACTTGTAAAAGTGTTTGATAAAGAAAGGTATTCTAAATAGGAGCAAAAAGACAGTAATATGTAAAATATTTTTGCCAAACTATTTACAGTCCAAATTAAAAAAAATATCGACTTGAGAATAACTTGCATGTAGCAGAATTTGTTGAGTTTACTATGAATTGACAACTTAAGAGTTAGTAGTTTCTCAATGTAAAATCATATGAACATTAGAAGAAATGTAAACAGAGATAAAAATTAAAGTTTAACTTCATCTTAACCACAATATGCAATTTTGAAAAAAAAATGCTGGTAATTTTGGAAAAATTAAAACGCTTAAGACAATATTTAAAAAAACTCAAGATACTACTAAAATTATTAAAGCCATATTTGACTGAGTATTAAATTAAGTAAATGAATATTAAGAATAATTTTACGCTATTTTAAGAATTTAAGTTACCCAGTGTATTTAATTTTCTTTTAATATGCATACATATGGTATTTTTTCATATATACTTTTATGTTTTGAAAATAATTTTTGAAGGATATATGCTATAGGTATGCTATAAGTAATGTACAACAAAGTTGTTGGTTGACAGCATGTTTGTAAAATGTTATATAAATTTGATTATTTTTATTGTCTCCTTACACTGTCAAATCTGTCATTCTATAGACATAAGTTACGTAATCACCAGTTTTAGGATTTGACATTTTCTTGGAAACCTGGAAGCCACCCTTGTTTCACTGTTGGTGAAGACTGGCTTGCTTCAAGTTCACTGATATCCTTCAAAGTAGCTTACTTTAACAAGGGACTAGAATACACATTTTTTCATCTGCCCTTGGAGGGGTCATCTTGCTTTATTTTATACTTTCTTAGATTTTAACTAACTTGAATCCTCTCTATATTTTTAGCTGCTCCATACTTTTTAAAATATGCATTATAAATTTTGTTTAGACATATTTTGAAAATTTTCTTCAGTGGAATCTTTAATTTGTAGTTCTTGTCTGACCTTATGAGATACTTTGGCATTGAAGTGGAAGTTAAACCTATGAAAAATTGCATATACACTATTACAACTCTCTTCTCTCTTTTGAATAATAGTGTGGTATAATTTACACCAGGACCAAGGTCTTCTGACATTTTAGCTTCCAGTCATTACCTTTGGACACTGCCACTCTTATTTTTAATTGGACATTTCTTAGAAGAACATAGAAATCAGATGTTCTTATTTACTTTTTATTCTACATAAATTCATACATATGAATGCATTTTCTTGTAGATTGTAGAATGACACTTTTAAAATCAAAGTACACAAGTTGTGTAAGGAAATACTTCTATTTATAAATGTCCTACAAGTTAACCAAATTAAACTACCATCATTTTGTGACAAAATAATTGAAACAAAATCTGGACTATGCGGCCCCTTAGAACCTTGCGAAATGTCCAATTTATCAAAATAATAAATATATAATTTACAATTTTTTATTAATTTCAAGTATGCTGCTCTTCTTACACATTCAGATGTGTTTTAATGAAGTAATTAATCTACAGTGACAAAGCCCTTTCCACAACAATTAAGTGCTAAGCATTAGTAAAAAACACCTTTACTTATTTTTTCTTTTTCAATAGCCTAATTCAGCATTTACCAAACAAAAGTTGAGCAGGATATAACAAGCTTTTCCTCAATTTCTGTGGTCAGATAAGCAGATGTGAAACATTAATTGCTTCAGGGAGTTAAATAGATTGGTTTATCATAGAATGTTTTAAACCCTTCAGTATGACCACATGCAGTATTAATCTCTAAAGAAGTATATGATAATTACCCAAATCTGTTTACCCGCAGTCTATTTCTTTTTCACTTCTCTGGAATAAGAATTGCATATCTTTGCCTCTTCCTAGAATATAGGACATGCAATAAGTAATTATGATATTTGGAAAGAAGTTAGAATTTGACCTTATTACAAAGAGAAATAGGTCAATTGAAACAAACCAAGGGACAGTACAGATGTGTAAATTGTCATACAAGGGCTATAAATATTCAAATATCTTAAAGGATTAAGTTAAAAAATTAATGTGTGAAAATTTAGGAGCAAAATTTAGCAAAACATAGGTGAATAAAATCTATGTAACACTTGAATTTGAAGAGATTGCAGTAGAAATTATTCAAATTGAAAGCCAAACAAAGAGTATCAAAACATAGATTCTCTAGGGACTGTAGACATATCACATGTTTAACTGAAGTCTTAGGGATAAATAAATGAATGCTATTGGACAACAAATTCATGTATATAAAAAAACCAACACTTTTCTACAATTGTTGAAATATGAAACAACAGAACAAAAAAATTTAGACAAACCTAGTTCTAGATGCTTGATGAATTGCCACACTTTCACAATGGTTGAACTAATTTACACTCCCACCAACCGTGTAAGGGAAGTCCTATTTCTCCACATCCTCTCCAGCATTTATTGTTTCCTGACTTTTTAATGATCAGCATTCCAACTGGTGTGAGATGGTATCCATCAATAATAGACTGGATAAAGAAAATGTGGTACATATACACCATGGAATACTATACAGCCATAAAAAAGGATGAGTTCATGTCCTTTGCAGAGACATGGATGAAGCTGGAAACCATCATTCTCAGCAAACTAACACAATAGCAGAAAACCAAACACCACATGTTCACACTCATAAGTGGGAGTTGAACAAGAGAACACATGAACACAGGGAGGAAAACATCACACACCAGGGCCTGTCAGGGGGTGGAGGGCTGGGGGAGGGATAACATTAGGAGAAATTCCTAATGTAGGTGACGGGTTGATAGGTGCAGCAAGCCACCATGGCACGTACATACCTATGTAACAGAACTGCACATTTGCATGTATACCCCAGAACTTAAAGTATAATTAAAAAAACAAAAAGAACAAAAAATTAGACAAACCTAAAAAATACGAATACAAAGAAAACCCAACAAGCCTATCAGTGTAAAATCTGAAACTGAAGAAAGGAAGAAATCTTTAAAAATAACATCTAAAAGGACACATTACACAGAGTAACAATAATAAGAATGATGACCAAGTTCCATCAGAAACAATAGCTTCAAAATGACAATGGAATAATGTTTAAAGTGTTAAAAGAATAAAAATTCATTAACAATGTGGAGCATAATAAGAAGTAAAAATTAATATATGTAAAATATTATGCAAATTGAAGACCTTTTAAAACAGACATCTGAGATAATTTGTCTTTAGAAGACCTGCACTACAAGAAATGCTAAAAGAAGTACCTACAGTATAAGAAAAATAATACCAGATGGAAGTCAGAAAGGAATGAAGAACACCAGAAAGTAAATATGTGAGAAAATCTAAAAAAAAGTAAATTAAATTTGTCATTATATTCTCTCTCTCTCATCAACCCCCACCCCACACAAACACAGATACAAGCTACAATGTGGATAAACCATCAAAACATTTTGTTAAGTCAAAGAAACTAGACACAAAAGGTCAAACATTTTATTATTCTTTTGCATAAAATATCTAGAATAGACAAAATACAGGTTGTTGGTTGTCAGTGGCTGAAGAGGGGGAGAATGAGGACAAACTACTTCATGAGTAAAAGATTTTGCTTTGGGACAGTGCAGTGGCTCACACCTGTAATCCCAGCACTTTGGGAGGCCCAGGCGGGAAGATCACGAGATCAGAAGATAGAGAGCATCCTGGCTAACACAGTGAAACCCTGTCTCTACTAAAAATACAAAAAAATTAGCCGGGAATGGTGGCACGCCCCTATAGTTCCAGATACTCGGAAGGGTGAGGCAAGAGAGAACATAGGAGGCAGAGGTGGCCGCTGCTGAGCTGAGATCACGCCACTGCACTCTAGCCTGGGCGACAAAGCGAGACTCCATCTCAAAAAAAAAAAAAGTGTTTAAAATTTGACACAAAACAGCTAAAATGTAAAATTGACAAATGTACAAAATATTTTGATATCTTAATACTATACTGCTGTCTTACAAAGTAATCGATCAATAGCCGTAATAAACAAAGCTTGGGATCCTATGGTTTAACTGCTGAGTTTTAACAAACACTTAAAAAGCTAATACTACTTCGGCCAGGCGCGGTGGCTCACGCCTGTAATCCCAGCACTTTGGGAGGCTGAGGCGGGCGGATCACAAGGTCAAGAGATGGAGACCATCCTGGCCAACCAACATGGTGAAACCCCACAAAAATTAACTGGGCATAGTGGCGCACGCTTGTAGTCCCAGCTACTCAGGAGGCTGAGGTAGGAGAATTGCTTGAACCCGGGAGGTGGTGGCTGCATTGAGCAGTGAGCCGAGATCGCGCCACTGCACTCCAGCCCGGGTGACAGAGCTAGACTCCGTCAAAAATAAGATAAAATATAAAATAAAATAAAATAAATAAAATAAAATAAAATAAAATAATTGAAGGGGAAGGGCATACTTCCAAACTCAGTTACTAGACCATCATTACCCTGATAATAAAATCAGACAAAGATACAGTAAAGAAAGAAAAGTACCGGTTAATATTTCTGAAAATCATGATTTCAAAATTCCTTAAAAAATGTTAACAAATTGAATTCAACAACACAGTAAACAAGTTATTCACTATGATCAAGCATAATTCCAGGGATTTAAGAATGGTTCAACATATGATAATCAATAAATGTGATACATTACATTGCTAGAATCAAAGATAAAAACAATGTGATCATTTGGCCAAAAAGGCATTTTATAAAATTCAACATCCCTTCATGATGAAAATACTGTCAACAAATTGGGTATAGAAATAACATACCTCAAAACAATAGAGGCCATATATTAATATTTCAAACACAGAGCTAGCATCATACTGAATGAAAAAAAAAATTGAAATTTTTTTCTCTAAGTTCTGGAACAAGATAAGAACGCTTGCTTTCACTACTTTTATTCAATGTAATACTGCAATTTCCCCAGAGCGATTAGACAAGAGAAATAAATGAAGGGCATTTAAACTGGAAAGGAAGAAGTCAAATTTTTCTTGTTAAGTAATTTTATTGACATTAACTCCATCTTATAGAGATTAACTCCATCTTATAGAGAAAAAGCATTTGCATTTCAAATATGCGTATATGAGTACACTTAATTTGCTAAAACAAATACCAAAGCCAGACAATGACAGAAAAAAAAGAAAATGACAGAGCCACATACATCATGAATATAGATGCAAAATTTCCCAACACAGTTTTAGCAACCCTAATTCAACAGCACAATAAAAGCATTATATACCATGAACAAAGGGATTTATCCCTGTGATGAAAGGATAGTTCAACATATGTGAATCAATTAATGCAATATACTGCCTTAAATAGAGTGAGGGATGAAAATCACATGATCTTCTCAGTAGATGCAGAAAACGTGTTTGACAAAATCCAACACTCTTACATGATAAAAATGTGTATCCAATTACGTATAGAAGGAATACAGTTCAACATAATAAAGGCCATATATAACAAATCCACGGATAACATTATAGACTATGGTGAAAAACTGAAAGCTTTTCTTCTAAAATAATGAACAAGACAAGAATATCTTCATTTGCCACTTCTATTAAGTATATTACTGAAAACCCTAGGTTGAGAAACTAGGCAAGAAAAACAAGCAAAATGTATTCAAATTGAAAAGAAAGTAAAATTATCTCTTTTGGCAGATGACATGATTTTCTCTGTAGAAAACACTAAAGCCTACACACAAAAAACTGCTAGAACAAATAAACAAATTCAGTAAAGTTTCAGGATATAAAATCAACATCCAAATAAATCAACTGCATTTCTATATACTAACAAAAAGCCAGCCAAAAAAATTAGGAAAACAAATCCCATACCCAAATTAGACAAAGACGTCATAGAAAAAAAATACTGTAGGCCAATATCTCTCATGAACATAGTTGCCAAAAGTCTTCAATAAAATATTAGTAAATTAAATTTAGTAATATATAAAAAGAATTACAAACCACAACCAAGTTGGATTTATCCTAAATATACAAGAATCGTTCAACATTTGAAAATCAGTAAATGGAATTCATCATATCAACAGGCTAAAGAAAATACAATCATGGGGAAATATAAATAGATGCAGAGAAACATTTGACAAAATCCAACACTTATTCATGATAAAAATTCTCAGTCTACAAGAAATAGAATGAAACTTCCTTAAATTGATAAAGAATATCATTTAAAAACCTACAGTTAATATCATACTGAGTGGTGAGAAAAATAAAAGCTTTCCCACTAATTTTAGGAACAAAACAAGAATGTCCCCTCTCACCATACCGGAAATCCAAGCTTACGAAGTGAGACGAGAAAAGGAAATACAACATATACAGATTGGCAACAAAAAATTGCACCGTTTTTATCCACATATGACATGATCATCTATGTAGAAAATAAAAAAAGAATCAACAAAAACCTCCTTGGTCATATAAAAAATTATTCCATGGTTGTAAGTTATAAGATTACTACAAAAAAGTCAATTATATTTCTATGTACCAGCCATGAACAAGTATAATTTAAAATTAAAAACACAATATCTTTACATTGGCACCCAAAGAAAAGAAATGCAGAGGTATAAATCTAAAAAAAGCACAGCTTATATGTTATGAAAACCACAAAATTCCAATGAAAGAAATAAAAGAACTAATAAATGAAGAGTTTGTTTATGGATAGGAAGATACACAATTTTGAAGATGTCAGTTCTTCCCAACTTGAACTATAGGCTTAATGTAATCCCAATCAAAATCCCAGCTAGTCATACTGTGGATAGCAACCAAATGATTATATCGTTTATATGAAGAGGTAAAAAAGCAAGAATAGCCAACACAATGTTAAAAAACAACAAAGTTGAAGGACTACCACTTTCTGACCATAGAATAACTATAAAGCTACAATTATTGAAGGCAGTGTGGCATTGACTAAATAATAGACAAACAAATTAAGGAGACAGAAAAGAGAGTTCAGGAAAGCATCTACATAAATATAGTCAAATAATCTTTGAAAAAGAAGTAAAGACAATAAGACAATGCAATGGAGCAAAGACAGATTTTTTTTTTTTTTAAGAAATGGTGCTGAAACAACTGGACATCCATGGTAAAAAAATGAATCTAGACACAGAATTTATGACCTTGCAAAATGAACTAAAAATGGATCACAAAACTAAATGTAAAAGGCAAAAATTTAAACCTCTGAAAGGTAATAATTGAGAAAATCTAGATGACCTTGAGTTTGATAATGACTTTTTAGATACTACATCAATGGTATGATCCATGCAAGAAATAATTGATAAACTGAGATTTATTAACATTTAATTATTTTTCTCTCTGAAAATCACTGTCAAGAGAAAACCACAGATGAGGAGAAAACATTTCCCAAAGAAGTATCTTAAAAAGTACTCTTATCCTAAGCAATGAACCTACTGACTCAATAGTAAGAAATTGAACCCAATGACTCAATAGTAAGAAATTGAATAACTGAATAAAAAAAAAACCCAAAGACTTTACTCGACAATTCACCAAATGAGATACATAGGTGGCAAATAAACATCTGAAAAGATGCTATATACCACATGTCATCAGGGAAATGGAAAAGAAAACAATAATGAGAATCCATTACACACTTATTAACATAACTAAAATCCAGGACACTGACAACACTAAATGTTGACATACATGGGGAGTAACAGGAGCTCTCATCCCTTCCTGGGGGAAATCACAAAATAGTACAGCCACCTTGGAAGACAGATTTTTTTTTTTTTTTTGACAGAAGTAAACATGCTCACTATACTGTTTCAACAACCAAGCTCCTAGGTGTATATTCAAATATGTGAAAACATGTCCACAAAAACTCCTGCAAAAAGGTTATTATAACAGCTTTATCCATGAACTCCCAAACTTGGAAGTGACCAAGATGTCCCTTAGTGAGTTAAAGGATAAACTGTAGTGTCTTCAGAAAATGGAATATTATTTACTGCTAATAATAAATGAACTATTTAGCCAAGAAAAGACGTGCGGAAAACTAAAAGGCACTAGAAAAAAATGTATTATTGGTATACAGTTGGTTTGTTGGTCGAGTATTAGTAATGCCTTAAAAAGAACTATTCGGCTGGGCGGTGGCTCACGCCTGTAATACCAGCACTTTGGGAGGCTGAGGCTGGCACATCACGAGGTCAGGAGTTCAAGACCAGCCTGGGCAACATGGTGAAACCCCCGTCTCTACTGAAAATACAAAAAAAATTAGCTGGGCATGGTGGTGGGCACCTGTAAACCCAAATACTTGGGAGGCTGAGGCAGGAGAATCGCTTGATCCCGGGAGATGGAGGTTGCAGTGAGGCAAGATCACGCTACTGCACTCCAGCCCGGGCAACAGTGCATGACTTCGTCTCAAAAAAAAAAAAAAAAAAAAAAAAAAAACTTATTTATTTTTATTTTGTGTTATCTAATCCTTTATATATTTGTAAGATAGTTAACTAGTCTGTGAATTGAAACACAATATTTATCTTACTTTGATTTATTCATGAGTAAAATAATGAACTTTAATGCAAAAACCTCCCTATATTAAAAATAATTAAGATAAATTATCATTTAAGAATTGTGAATAAGGGTTATACACATTTTATTTGGAGTTCTTCAGAATTTTAGCTTTTTCCATCTTGGTCATACCTTTCCTATAGAAGTAAAGGAGACGTGTCCTTTGCAAGGACACATAATTGCAATCTTTATTTGCTTGTTCTCAGTGGCTCTTCTCATTATACTTTGCTGTGACTTAACAGCCTCCTTAGAGCATGTCATACAGTAATGGCCACCTTATTCATGAGAATGATGTGATGCAATACTAGGCAGCCACTAGGCTTGAAGAAAAGGCAACTTTACAGTATTTTCTTAACTAATAGTGCAAAAATTGTCAAAGCCAACCAATTTCTCTTCTATTTTTATACGTAAAACATTTCTAAAGCCAGATGCTGAAAATCATTGATATACCTTACGAGAAAGTTCTTACCTTCTTTTGTAAATTGTTAACACCAATAATAAGTGACAGGGAAAATAATTACATTATTATCAGGCTGCTCAAAGGAATATCACACCAGTTCCAGTCCAGAGTAATTTTCTTTATAAATCCACTCATGTCTGTGTGTATGTATAATGGTTTTCTTCTGAGGAATTCAAAGTCCTACACTTAACTACCTCATTTATTTCTAAAATGTATCCTTAAAAATATGTCATGATTAAAAGTGAAAACAAAAATAGAAAGTATTTATATATCAGCTAAGTGAAATGTATTATTCCAACATGCTGGTGACTGCAGCCATGGGTTTAAGAGAATAAAAAATAAACAAATACTGTGCATTTGTCCACTAATCTGTTATTGCAGATTTTTACACTGCTATACAATAATATCTTTGTATGTTGCACTCTGAATGAAAAGTAATTATTAAATAAAAAATAACACATCACATAATTTCTGCAAGGTTTAAAATATTATTTGTATATTTCAATACCACTATTCCTTTTGCCAATTTCAAATTATGCCATATACAGCCCTTGTTATGTAAAACAAGTAAACTTTTAAAAGCTGCATATCTTTTCATGGTATTTTATTTCTTTGGTATATGAATACCAAAATTATTTGGAATGCTGACCAAAGACAGAGCTGTGGGCAGATTTTGTTCTGATATAAAAATTTTGATTTCTTTTCTGTACGCATTTAATCAAAAATAGATTAAGCATTTGAACTTCCAGAGATATTTATTAAGAATTGAAATAACATCCTGACTCCCTCCCAGATCTTTCTGTGGTCAGTAGAGTCTCTCCTGCTAATATATCTAGATATTGGCTGATATCTGCCAAGAGAGTAGTTAAACTCTTAGAGCAGGTTCTCAGTGGGGCTATGATTTTAAAGTTACTGTGTAATGGAGTGTATTACCATTTACCATATGATGAGATAGTCTGTCAGCCAGGGAGCTGTTTAAAGTTATATATAGGTCAAATGAGCCAAAAAGAGCAAAGGAAGATCAAGAACATTGAGTATCTCAAAAGTAAAAGGATCAAAATATTTTAGGTAACAGGTGATTTATTCCAATGTTTGTCTTAACTCTATTGATGAAGTTTATTATGAATTGTTGAATGCAGTAAGTGAAATGTATTTCAAGGTCGTGCATTTTTCCTTATGAGCAACCGTATGGTATACATGTCCTATTTCTACAAATGGTTTTATATATTACTATTTCTACTTACTAATGAAAGGTATCTTGACATTTCCAATTATCACTTCTGGGATCAAATTATGTTTTCATCTCATTAAGAATCACCAAATGATTTTTTCCTGAGTTTTTACTCAGCTAAAACTATCATTCATCTACCATTCACTGTTTAAAGATACTGAATAATGTTACATGATGAAAAGAAAAATATTTCATCTGTATTTCCAAAGTCACCTTCACTATTAAGAGTACTGTACCCACCTTCAAGTATGGCAGTGTTTAATATGTGAGTAATTGTAGGGTTTATAACAGGAAATACATTATTTTTCTTACTCTGTAGCATAGACTGAAAATCAGAAATTAAAAAAATTAAAAATTAATTAAATTACACCTTAACTCCCAACCAAATGAACATTGGTATTAAACAGATTATAAACATGTCTGTAATTAGAAATTTTCTATTTACCTTGTTATAATTTATGCAAAAATATGAATCAGTATAACTTTCACTTATGGTTACATATTTTATATTATTATTAACAAATCTGTTAAAATTATTTATAATGGTGAATGTTTTCTAAGAGACCAACTAGAAAATACTGAGAACAAAGAAAATATTAAAAATTATGCATATGAGAAAGACAGAATATAGCAAATGTCAGACAAAATCTGCTGCTTTAAGGACAAGATCATTTTCCGGTGAAGAAAGACAAATCCTACATTAGGTAAATGCTAGTCTTGTATCCAAAATTCTGAAGACAAGTTATAAACTAGCTCTTTACTGTTTTACGTTTATTATTTTTTTACACCCTCTATTTGTTAAAAAAGAGTCTCAAATTAGTAATACACAAGTGATACAAATATGAGAAAGGAATTTGTAAGCCATAGATTCTCATTCATATGTGTATTATTATTCTATTGTTATTAAGAAATATATATATTTATATACAGATATATATTTGTGTATGTATATGTGTGTGTGTATATATATATACAGAAACAGAGATCTCAGCTTCACTAGAATAAAATAATTATTTTGACAAAACATAGAAAATTCTGTTTATATGTAGGATAATACAAAATTATGGAAGTATTTGGTGAAAGAGAAGTAGAAATTTTGGACTCACATAATTGGTGCAAAAGTTATGCTTCAAAATAGAATTAATTTGTCAGTAATATTCAGAATCATGTCTGTTTTAATAAGCTAACATTTCTGAAATATGTATTATTGTGCATAACAGTTTCCTATGTGGCTTTAAAAATATTATTTAATTTTGCAAATGCATGGAAAAGGCCCTACTTTTATTCTACTCTTAAAACTTAATAAACTGTGTGTCTCTGAGTCACAAAGAATTTAAATAACTTGATTGAGGGAATGTATCTAGAGAGTATTAGGTCTGGGGTATGAGCATACCCAGCTATACTCTCCTTATCATGTAGTGCATGCCCTTATGTAAATCATATAAATAATTAATATTGGGACAATGAAACAGTTTGTGTGTTTTTTTTTTCCAGATTTCCAGAAATAAAAAGAAGGAAAACAAATGAGTAACTATGAGTTAGGGATTAAGAAAACTATAGACAAAAACAGGTAGATGATATACCATTGACACCCTCCTCTGCCCCTCACCTCTCCTTGTGGAAGAACTATGTTAGATATCACAAATAACTAGTCTACATAGTGAGAGTTTTGATGGTGGAAGGGAGTTTTGGAATGAAAAAGTTAGTTATCTTTATTCCGCCATCTTTTTCTTCTTTCCCAAGAGTATAAATTTGGGTCTCGAAACCTGGGAAGAGAGAATTTATTTCTAGATATGGTTTCTATTTGGGAAATAATTGCTCTTGATCCTTAAAAACACAGGTAAATCAGAAGAAAGCATTTGTGTGTTTAAACTTAAGTATTTATGTTTATACTTAAGTACTTACGGTTAGCTTTAGCTTTTTATTGGAGTAGGGCTAATGAGTCACCAACTTTTTCTTATATGTAATCCTATCCATGGATTTGGTATAAATTATTTGCTGAGAATGAGAAGTACACATATCTTCTGCTCTTAAAAATCTGTACACAACAGTAGGCAAGTAAGCATCATACAGATATGACAGAGGAAACAGAACTCTGAAAGGGTAGGAGAAGTTTGACATATATGAAAACAAATACAGCACAGTAGGTATTCAAATATCAGAGTCAAAATAAGAAAATAGCAAAATGAAAAGTCAGATGAAAGAGTACTGAATGAGAAAGACTTCCTCTTGGTTGGGAAATGTTTCTTTGTTTTTAGCAAGAATAGGACCAAACTTTGATTATACTCTCGTAGTATGTGCAGTGAAAAATTAATCAGTGGGAGCATCTGTTTGAAATATTCTTACAATAAAGGGAAAAAGGTTTTTTATAGGAAATCATTCAAGTTTGATAGGAACTTGGTTTGAGATGTCATAGGATAACAGGAACCATATTACTGACTTTATAATTAGGTATGGGAAAACTCAAAGAAAAAAATTGCATTTTAGGTATTTGGGACAGAAAAGGATTCAAATAGAAAATCAGAAATTTATGCAACTTTGAAAGGGCTGGAAGAGCAAAAGTTAGGAAAATTATTACTAATGTAAAGGGACTCCAGAATTGAGGAAATGGAAATGAAGCCATTGATTATGACTTCAGTTGCCAACAGCATTGAAGTCATTCTCACCGGATGATCTGAAGCTGCTGACAGTATTCCTTGTCAGGTAACTGCTAATTCCGGCACAGTCACTGAGGCTTGCTTGCGTGCTTTCATTGTCTTAACTCTAGTAGGAGAAAATTTTGGGAAATAGAGCTTAACAACTATAAGAGTAAGAAGGGAACATGTGTGATGTTAAACTAACCACAGATAATCCACCACAGGTGTAAAGGTTAGAGACAAATACTCTTGACTGTAGTTCATGGATGAGCTAATGAATACATGAGTTAGACTACTGGCAATGGAAGCTGAGAAGATGAATAAACCATGATATCTAGAGCTAATATTTGACAAATAGCTAGAATTTGTCAATGTTTACAATATGCTAGGAATAGGGCTGTAAAGTATATATTGATCCCACCTTCATTTAACAAATACTGATCTATCTAGCATTTCCTTTGTATAAGGAAATATTCTAAAAGCTTCATAAATATGTGTTCAATTAATCGTCATAACTCTACAAAGTAGAAGCTCTTATTATCTCCCTTTTAAATGTAGAGAAATTAAGTAAAGAAGATCACAAAGCTAGTACCTTGCTAGAGTTCACACAGCTAGTTCTGAGCAGAGCTAGGATTTATACTCAAGCAATTTTGCTGGGAAATTCATGCTCTGAAACAATACAGTATGGTGCCTCTAATTCTTGCTTCATTGGGTTATCCTCCTTATGAGAAAAATACTCATTTTGACTTAAGTGGTAAAATTGAGACCCAGAGATGTTAAATAATTTGCCCAATATGATTTTTATAGTAAAATATCTACATATTTTGACTTAATTTTATAGTTACAGGATTTGGTGGCCAATTAACCATAGCAAAGTGAAGAGACACAGTGAAGATGATTTTCAAACTGCCTAACCTGGGAGAGCTGAAAAGCAGTGGTACAACTGAAAGAAATAATGTAGTAAACCAGAGGGCCATATTTGAATATGTTATATTCAAAACTGGATGGGTTGAATCTGAAGCAATAACTGAGCATTCAAGCGGATATATTTTGTATTCAGTTACACATGTGGAATTGAAGCCAGGATAAAATGTTTAAGCCTAGAAAAAACTCAAGTCATCATCTTCTTAAAGATAATATTTAAAATTGTAGTTATTTACATGTAAGAAATGAGTTTCTTCTAAAGAATAAAAGTACTGGTGCAGTGTATCTGAAATCTGACCCAAGCCTTAAATATTAAGGCAAGATTGGCAGAAGGACCATTTTCAATGTAATGATATTAAAATTATGAACTAGACTTAGGGAATAAGGGGTAAGATTCTCTCAGTAGTAATTTTAGAAATAGTAGGTCCTGGGGAGCACAAGAGGCAGGAATGATTGCTCAGAGAAAAAAAAATATATAATAGTAAAGTAATTAATTTCATGAAATTTTCACATACCCCAGTATCACATTTCATGCATCAGGTCAGACTAAACGGCATCTTCTAAAAACCTAGATGCTAGTTAAGATTACCCTGCCTCACATCCCCGTAATTTTTAATTATTCCCTAAATATGAACACATATATTCATCTATTTTTTATTCTTCCACTTCTTTTATTTTTTCTGATGAAATTTTAATTCTGAAGGTTCTACCTAATGGAAAATAATTCCTTATATACCCTTGTTATAGACCACAGGCTCTTTGGCTCCTCATGTAATGGAAATTAACAAGGGGGCAAGCAGATTTCCCAAACAAGGCTTTTCTTTTAGGGCTTGTACTGCAGCTCAAGGAAGGCAGTGGAGACAACGCACAAGGATCCGTCAGGGGCTCCTGGAAAAAGCTAATAGGGATATTTCATCAGGCAAAGCTCAGAACTTTACATCGGGGTAGGGTATGCAGGCTGGGCAGGCCAAAGCACGTGACTGGTAGGCTATCGAGGTGAGCAAATCTGATTGCAATGTTTATCTTGTTAATGGGCCACCTGGTGGTCAGGACAAGGTAGCAAGGCTATAAATCAACTTCAGCAATGCTTTCAACGACGCGACACTCCACAATCTTAATTAGATATTTAAATCTTATAAGGCCAATTTCTGGTATTCCTTAGTACAAGGGATAGTTAAACATTATGAAAGCATAGCACAGTAGCTGTTTTCTTTGTGTGACTAAAGCCTCAAGGGTAGTGGGCATAGTGTCAGAGAGGTGGTTATGTGGGTTTTGTGAAGATAAGAAGAAAAAAAGAAAAAAAATGTGAAAAAGGAAATACATCCCACCCTTATTCTATCTCACCCTCACACTATTTAGTAAATATTTCTTCTGCTCTGTTAGCCTTAGGAATTAACTGATCCCTCAGCATTCCATAAACAATAATTGAGCTTCCCTCCATCATATTTAAGGAAATTAGGGTTTTGGACTTGGGATCAGATTTCTTCACTCATTAATATCTCTTCTTGATCATTATTTGCATGCTTACATTAAAAAATATTTTAAATCACTTAATTATGCTGGGTTTCTTTTCTATATTTATTGGCAATTTGGACACTAGACTCAAAATCATTATTAGATTCTGCCATCATCCTGGATGAATTAATGCAGCATTCATTTAGATAGCTACACCCAGAGTATCATTCAATCAGAACTCTCCTGGAAGCCTTATTTAAATCCCCTAATCTGCAGTTAGCTATATCACTCCCTTATCCTACTTGCCCTCTACCCAACTATTTAAAGAAGGAATCTGAAACCATCCTAAATTCTACTTTTAATCACCTTCCATATCTGTTAATCATCATAGCCTATTCAAGCCACCATCATTTCTTATCTTTGAATGAACACTGAAATGGTCTCTTAATTTCCTTTTGATTCCCCCCCTCTCCAGTCTATTTTCCATACCACATACAGAGTGATATTCTTAAATGAAAATTAATTATATCACTTTCCAATTGAACACCTTTGATTTTCTTTCTATTCCCTACAACTAGGGTCAGCAAACTTTTTCTGTAAACAACCAGATAGTAAATGTTTCAAGTTTTTCAGACCGTATGGTCTCTGTCTCAACTGCTCAATTCTAATACTATAGCACAAAGTAAATCATAGATAATACATAAATCAAGGGATGTGGCTGGGTTTCGATGAAACTTTATTTACGAAACAAGAGGAAGACATGATTTGGCCCATGGGCTGCAGTTTTCCTACTTCTAGTCTTCAGGATAAAGTTCAAAATCTTGACCATGCTTCTAAAGTCCTACTGCCCTAGTCACTCTTTCATATATTCTTTCCTGAATCTGGAGCACTCTTCTTGAAACAAATTTCTATTCTCTTTTTATTGTTACTATTTTGGTCTCTGCCTCTCAGTTCTTCACAGAAGGCTATCAGGACTTTTGATTAGGTAATATGATAATATGTTGCACGGCATTCTCTTTTTCTTCTTCTTTCACAGTTATTCATATTTCAGAAAAAGCATAGCTTAATAGTTTAGTGAATGGAGCCACATTTCTTGGCTCAAAGCTCTACTCCATCAAATTCTTATGCAAGTTACTTAATCTCTCTGTGCCTGTTTTGCTCATCTATAAGATAGGTATAATAAAGTACCTCTCTTACAAGATGTTACAAAAATTGAAAGAGTTAACATTTGTGAAGTGTTTAGAGTAGTGTCTGGCACGTAATTAGGCAAAATAACAGTTCATTCGTTTTCCCATTTCCCACTAAATCATAAGCACTAGAAGATAAACGGTATATGTCTTTTGTTTACTATAATATCTTCAGGATATGGTGCACAGAATGTATATTATAAATATTTAATGAATTAACAAATAGATTGTATATATTATTCAACTATTATGTAAACTATTTAATCCCTTCACTTCTTCACTGTCCAATTGTTTGTTTGCCTGCTTTTAATCTGGTATATTCTCTAGTGCCTAAAATCTAGAATATAAATTCCAAAGGGCAACAAATGCTACATTCAGAACTGTACAACCACATAGTAGTTGATTGATAAATATTTGTGGACCAGTGTATACCTACTGAATATTATCAGATAAAGTCCCAGCTATCTAGACCCAAGTTCCTTTCTGATGCAAACACTGAATTCTGCTCAAGCCTTACCTCTCACATTGTTTTTGTGTGTTTCAACCACACTGAAATAATTGGAGTTCACAACATCTCCCTATATGTCTATTCCTGCACATACACTCTTTGGATATTATAGAACACTTCTTACAATATTCACCCAGCCGAAACATTTTTTCTTTGTAATACTATATGTAAGCTATGATTCAGTTTCCTAGTTAAATATTTATTTATTTTTTATAATAAAAATATTTCCTAATACCAAAACCTAGTTTAGATGCCACTTTTTTCATTTCTGTAGCAAAACAACCTGTGCTTACTGAAATAAGTATTCACAAAATGAATATAAATGGCAAGTTTGTTTGTATTCCTTGTTAAATAAAGTTTATCTGTGCTAGGGACTATATTTTGCTCATTATTACATCCTAAGAACTTAACACAGTGACTTGCAAAGAGTAAATATTCAATATCTATTTAATGAGTAAATGGAAATAAATGTACCTAGTACCTAGGTACTGAGTACCTAGTAGACTTAGTGTAAAAAATTACAAATTAATCTTATTGCATTTAAGAAATACATAATTTGGCCTATGTTTTGAGATTTAAGGTATGGAATCTACATTTTATTTATAGTAAATTTCATTATAAACAAGAAGCAAATGTCATTTCAAAGGCTTAGAAGTGATAGGACATTTTTAAAATGTAGAAATATAGTGTTAGTGTTTGGTCATTAGCAGGTGATTAGATTGTCTAAATTTATAAAATTCACAGATTGAAGGGTTAGCTTTTATAAGAAACTATCATGCTGATTTGTCTATTTTAATCAGCATGTGTATGCTAGTCACATATTGTTACAGACAGTTTTCTTTCTTTCTCCTTCGTTCCTTCCTTCCTTCCCTCCTTCCCTTTCTTTCTTTCTTCCTTTTTTTTTTTTTTTTTTTTTTTTTGACAGAGTCTTATTCTGTTGCCCAGTCTGGATTGTAATGGGACAATCTCGGCTCGCTGCAAACTCCTGCTCCCTGGTTCAAATGATTCTTGTGCTTCAGCCTACAGAGTAGCTGGGATTACAGACACGTGTCGACACACCTGGCTGATTTTTGTATAATTAGTAGAGACCTGGTTTCACCTCGTTGGCCAGGATGCTCTTGAATATCTGACCTCAAATGATCCCTCCCACCTCAGCTTCCCAAAGTGCTGGGTTTACAGGTGTGAGCCTTTGTTCACAGCCGAGACAATTTTCATCTATTAGAGTGATTTTTATCTGACATTCTGATCTAGTTCTCTTGCTCCTTAGAGATAAGAAAGAAACAACCAGCTAAAATATACAATACATTCTTATTGCAATTTGTTTTTTTATTACATTTACAACAGCTTCTTATGTAACTCTGTCTCATTACTTGGTTGGATACCAGATTGCTTAGTCAAGAACGGTCTGACTGGCAAGGAGTTTCCTTAAAATTCATACACATGAAAATATCAGATTTGCATTTTTTGAATGGAAGCTTCCTTTAGTTGTATAGCAAAACAAAGTCTATTCTAGAAATAAATATGTCATGTTTATTTCTACTAAATATTCAGCCATCACAATTATTTTAATTCATTCATCCTCCTTTTCATAATGTTACTAAAAGTATATCACATTTTTAAACAATACATCACTCTTATTTTGTTTAAATATTTGTGCATAATTTCACACACCAAGATTGTGCAAGAATAAGAATTGTACTAAGGGAATCTGTCTACCTTTTATTCAGATTCACCAACTATTACCTTTTACCCCATTCGCCTGATCTCTTCTCTTACTCTGTGGATTTCTGTTTCTCTCTCCCAATATTTGAGGTTAAGTTGCATAGACCATGGCCTTTTCTCCTAAATACATGTTTGTAATTTCTCAGATACTAGTATTGTTTTTTACAAAATCACAACGTATTTATCTTTTCAGTAAATTTAATATTGCTTCAAAATTTTCTATAATATGCCATCCAAATTTCAATTTTGTCAAAAGTTGTATAATTTTTATATTTTTTCTCTCCAATACAAGACTCCATCTAGGGACAAATATTTTTATTTAGCTGTCATGTCACTTTAGACTTCTTTAATCTGGAACATTTTAAAAGCCTCTTTTTGTCTTCCACTGCTATTTTTTGAAGAGCACTGTTCTCTCCTGCCAGTTGTTTCTCTTTTTTCTTATGATTATAAGAAGATTATGCGTTATTTCCTGGATTGTAATCTGTGGTGTTTTGTTCTTTTCATGGAGTTATATCTGAAGTCACACAATGTCTATCTCTTGAATTGGTAAAGTTAATTCTGATGAGTTTATCCAGGTGTTCTTTGATTTCACCACCATATTTATACTGTTTATTTATTCTCTTGTACCAATTAGCAGATTGTAGAGAAAGTCTTCAATAGCATACAGATAACCTGTTCCTCATTATAATTTCCTCTTACATATAGTATCTATTGATGATCCTTGCTTGATTCACTCTTAATATGATGGCTGCAAAATGCTGATTTCCAACTCTGGAATTCTTTCCTTTATACTCTCAGTTATATATTCATATTCTTATGTATTGATTTATTATATGTATGAATTAACACATTTACAATTTTAATTGCTTGTCATTCATTGATATATTGAATTATTTTGGTTCTCAAATTGTCCCAGATTTGAACAGCAACAATTCCCACTTTATTATTATTACTTTGTTATTACTATTATTATTATACTTCTGGCATCAGACATTACAGGTTTATATGTCATATACCTTGGCTCTATAAGAGACATTTTTCTTAGGATCTGTGGTTTCTCTTGGTCAAGTATGTTACTAGTGACCAAGGTTCAGGCACTTGATATGCTCATTGCTATTGGAGTGTCATTATGTCTTGACCTTTACAGAGTATAGAGCTTGAAAATATATGTCTTTTTATAAACATATACATAAGTCATATATACAAATGTACATCACTGGCACAAATGTACATAGTGCACAATGGCATGGTCCTTTTCTGCTTCCTGCACTTCATAGTTGTCATTTCTTCTTCTTCAGTGAGAACCTTGGATCCCAAATGTATCAACACATACCATTTTTTGCTCAACTCTACAATACATCTAAAATTGTTTCAGAATATTTTGCCCATCACATTACAAAAGTAGACTTCCTAAGAAGAGTTGAAGATTTATTTGCAACCACCACTTCCACCAAAGACTTACAGTATATTACATATCGTCAAATATTATTTTCATACATTACTTGAGTTTTTTTTCTTTTTCTTTTTCTCTCTCTCTGACACTCCTCTGTCTATCTCTCTGCTTTTCGGTCTATCTCTCTCTCTTATTTTTCCTTCTTCAGTGTGGTGATAATATTCATTCGAAATGCATTTGCACGGCCAGACCCAGTGGCTCACACCTTCAATCTCAGCACTTTAATACAGCGAGACCGTGTCTTTAAAACAAATTTAAAAATTAGCTTGGTGTGGTGGCATGCACCTGTAGTCCCAGCTACTAAGGAGACTGAGGTGGAAGGGTCGCTTGAGCCTAGGAGATCAAGACGGCAGTGAGCCGTGATGGTACCACTGCACTCTAGCCTGGGTGACAGAGAGGGACCCCGCCTCAAAAAATAATCGATTAATTAAAACTAAACTAAAATAAAGTACATCTACCAACATTAAGTTTACCTTTATTTCTACATGATTTTCCTTTTCATTATTATTGATTTAAATTAACTCAATATTTTTAAATATGTAGAATATTATCGTGATTACAAAAGTCAAAACAAAAGTAAAATAAGGGGTCTCTTGTACCTAATTTCTCCCAATTCCTTGTAAGTAACCAATTTAGTTATCAATTTTATTACTACTGTACTTTTTTTTAAAGATAAGTGTGTGTATATGTGTATACACACATACATGTGCATGCTATCTTACTTTTCTTTCCTTTTACAAATGTGTACACACATACACACACACACACACACAAACACATTTGGTATTCTTTTTACTTCACAGTGTCTCCTGGAAATAATTTTACCTCAGTTCACAGGCCTTCAATTTTTACAGCTGGATATTATGATTGTACATTCTAAGTTGTGTGCATGTAACATAGTTTAGTACTCAATCTCCAATGATTGGTTTCTAACATTTTGCACTGAAAAATACTGCTCTACTGAATTGTGTTTGTGAATCTTTATGTTTTCGGAGTTATATCTGCAAGGATACGACTAAGAATGAGATTGGTGATTGGAAACGTTAGAGCACATGAAGAATTTTATTAGATATTGCCAAATTTCTCACCAAAGAGATTGTATCTATTTTCATTTTAGCAGTCAAAGTCTATGACTGTCTGATTTCTCACAGCCTTCCCAATTCTCAAGCTTCTGATATTTTGCCAATGCCAGCAGTGATAAATGGAATTTCAGAGTACTTTACGTTGCCTTTCTTTCATTAGGAGTGATGTTGAACATTACTTCATATGTTTATGGACCTTTTTATATCTCTTTTGGTGGATTGCTTGTTCACATCTTTTCCTTATTATCTATAATATTTTTTGGCTTTTTATATCAATTTTTAAAATTTCCTTTGCTGTGGTGAAACTTTTTAAATTGATAAAATCCCATTTGTCCGTTTTTACTTTGGTTGCCTGTGCTTGGGAGATTTTACTCAAGAAATCTTTGCCCAGACCAAGGTCCTGGAGTGTTTCTCCAATGTTTTCCTCTAGTAGTTTCAGGTTCTAAACTTAAGTCTTTAAACTATTTTGGTTTGCTTTTGTATATGGTGAGAGTTTGAGGTCCAGTTTCATTCTTTTGCATATGAATATTTTCTTTTTTCAGCATCCTTTCTTAAAGAGACTGTTAACTAAATGAATAAAAGAAAATCCACAAAGGAGAAAAAAAGTATTTGCAAACTACCCATCTGACAAGGAATTAATAACCAGATTATATAAGGAGCTCCAAAAACACTCAATAACAAAACAAAACAAAAACAAAACAATAACAAAACAATACAATTAAAAGCTGTGAAAAGATCTCCATAGACATTTCTCAAAAGAAGACACATAAATGGCAAACACATGTATGAGAAAATGCCCAACGTCACTAAGCTTCAGAGAAGAGCAAATCAAAGAAAGCTACAATGAGATATTATCTCACTCCAGTTAAAATGGCCTTTTGTTCAAAAGATAAGCAATAACAGATGCTGGCAAGAATGTAGAGAAAGGGGAACCCTCATACACTTGTTTGAAATGTGAATTAGTGCAGCCACTATGAAAAACAGTATAAAGGTTTTTCAAACAACTAAAGAAAGAACTACCATGTGATCCAGCAACCCCACTGCTTGGTATACATCCAAAAAGAAAATAAATCAGTATATTAAAAAGATATCTGCACTACTATGATTATTGCAGCACTATTCACATTACCCAAGAAGTGGAATCAAACTAAGTGTTCATCAAAAGATGAATGGATAAAGAAAATTTGATATATATGCACAATGAAATATTATTAAGCCATAAAAAAACAACGAAACCATTCTTTTTACAATAACATGGATAGAACTGAAGGACATTATGTAAGTATAAAGAATAAGATTTAGTGTTTGGTAGCACAACAGGGTGACTATAGTTAACAATAATTTATTGTATATTTTAAAATAACAACAAAAATGGAATTACAACATTCCTAACACAAAGAAGTGATAAATGCTTGAGGTGATGAATATCCTAACTATGCTGAATTTGATCTGTGCACGTTGTATACTTGTTCAAAATATCACATGTACCTCATAAACATGTCTGATTATTACATATACATAATAATTAAATAAAAATGATATTTTCTATATTAAGACTAGTAATCCTGTATTTGTGATTTACATTGCAAATATCTTTTTTGCATCGTTATTTGTCATTTGATTTACTTCTGGTACTCTTCACCATCACAGTTTTATCTTTATTTTTACATAGTCAAATCAACCAATATTCTTTTTTTAATTAATTAATTAATTTATTTTATTTATTTTATTATTATTATAGTTTAAGTTTTAGGGTACATGTGCACAACGTGCAGGTTTGTTACATATGTATACATGTGCCATGTTGGTGTGCCGCACTCATTAACTCATCATTTAGCATTAGGTATATCTCCTAATGCTATCCCTCCCCCACCCCCCCACCCCACAACAGGCCCCGGTGTGTGATGTTCCCCTTCCTTTGTCCATGTGTTCTCATTGTTCAATTCCCACCTATGAGGGAGAACATGTGGTGTTTGGTTCTTTGTCCTTGCGATAGTTTGCTGAGAATGATGGTTTCCAGTTTCATCCATGTCCCTACCAAGGACATGAACTCATCATTTTTTATGGCTGCATAGTATTCCATGGTGTATATGTGCCACATTTACTTAATCCAGCCTATCATTGTTGGACATTTGGCTTGGTTCCAAGTCTTTACTATTGCAAATAGTGCTGCAATAAACATACATGTGCATGTGTCTTTATAGTAGCATGATTTATAATCCGTTGGGTATATACCCAGTAATGGGATGGCTGGGTCAAATGGTATTTCCAGTTCTAGATCCCTGAGGAATCGCCACACTGACTTCCACAATGGTTGAACTAGTTTACAGTCCCACCAACAGTGTAAAAGTGTTCCTATTTCTCCACATCCTCTCCAGCACCTGTTGTTTCCTGACTTTTTAATGATCGCCATTCTAACTGGTGTGAGATGGTATCTCATTGTGGTTTTGATTTGCATTTCTCTGATGGCCAGTGAAGATGAGCATTTTTTCATGTGTTTTTTGGCTGCATAAATGTCTTCTTTTGAGAAGTGTCTGTTCATATCCTTTGCCCACTTTTTGATGGGGTTGTTTGTTTTTTTCTTGTAAATTTGTTTGAGTTCATTGTAGATTCTGGATATTAGCCCTTTGTCAGATGAGTAGATTGCGAAAATTTTCTCCCATTCTGTAGGTTGCCTGTTCACTCTGATGGTAGTTTCTTTTGCTGTGCAGAAGCTCCTTAGTTGAATTAGATCCCATTTGTCAATTTTGGCTTTTGTTGCCATTGCTTTTGGTGTTTTAGACATGAAGTCCTTGCCCAAGCATATGTCCTGAATGGCAATGCCTAGGTTTTCTTTTAGGGTTTTTATGGTTTTAGGTCTAACATTTAAATCTTTAATCCATCTTGAATTGATTTTTATATAAGGTGTAAGGAAGGGATCCAGTTTCAGCTTTCTACATATGGCTAGCTAGTTTTGCCAGCACCATTTATCAAATAGGGAATCCTTTCTCCATTGCTTGTTTTTGTCAGGTTTGTCAAAGATCAGATAGTTGTAGATATGTGGCGTTATTTCTGAGGGCTCTGTTCTGTTCCATTGGTTTGTATCTCTGTTTTGGTACCAGTACCATGCTGTTTTGTTTACTGTAGCCTTGTAGTATAGTTTGAAGTCAGGTAGTGTGATGCCTCCAGCCTTGTTCTTTTGGCTTCGGATTGACTTGGCGATGCGGGCTCTTTTTTGGTCCCATATGAACTTTAAAGTAGTTTTTTCCAGTTCTGTGAAGAAAGTCATTGGTAGCTTGATGGGGATGGCATTGAATCTATAAATTATCTTGGGCAGTATGGCCATTTTCATGAAATTGATTCTTCCTACCCATGAGCATGGAATGTTCTTCCATTTGTTTGTATCCTCTTTTATTTCATTGAGCAGTGGTTTGTAGTTCTCCTTGAAGAGGTCCTTCACGTCCCTTGTAAGTTGGATTCCTAGGTATTTTATTCTCTTTGAAGCAATCATGAATGGGAGTTCACTCATGATTTGGCTCTCTGTTTGTCTGTTGTTGGTGTATAAGAATGCTTGTGATTTTTGCACATTGATTTTGTATCCTGAGACTTTACTGAAGTTGCTTATCAGCTTGAGGAGATTTTGGGCTGAGACGATGGGGTTTTCTAGATATACAATCATGTCATCTGCAAACAGGGACAATTTGACTTCCTCTTCTCCTAATTGAATACCCTTTATTTCCTTCTCCTGCCTGATTGCCCTGGCCATACACTTCCAACACTATGTTGAATAGGAGTGGTGAGAGAGGGCATCCCTGTCTTGTGCCAGTTTTCAAAGGGAATGCTTCCATTTTTTGTCCATTCAGTATGATATTGGCTGTGGGTTTGTCATAGATAGCTATTATTATTTTGAGATACGTCCCATCAATACTTAATTTATTGAGAGTTTTTAGCATGAAGGGCTGTTGAATTTTGTCAAAGGCCTTTTCTGCATCTATTGAGATAATCATGTGGTTTTTGTGTTTGGTTCTGTTTATATGATGGATTACATTTATTGATTTGCATATGTTGAACCAGTCTTGCATCCCAGGGATGAAGCCCACTTGATCATGGTGGATAAGCTTTTTGATATGCTGCTGGATTCGGTTTGCCAGTATTTTATTGAGGATTTTTGCATTGATGTTCATCAAGGGTATTAGTCTAAAATTCTCTTTTTAAATATTCTTAAATTGCATTTGAATTTTAGCTAGAGTTAGAAAGCCTTTATCTATATCCAGATAATAGATATAATTACCCATGTTTTCTCCTGGCAAAACAAAAAAAAAAGGTTTGATCCCAAATCCATTTGGAGTTTATTTGTGTGTATGGTGAGAAAAACTTTAACTTTTTACATAATTTAGTCATTAGTTCCAATATTATTTATTTACCAAAAAAGCTATCTTTTCCTTAGTGGCTTGAGATATAATCATTATCATAGTTTGTATATATCTGTATATATGTATCTATATACATATATACATGTATATATATCTGTAGATATGTATAAATATATGCATATATCTATATATAGATATATATACACATACACATGATACATATGTAGGTCTATATATCATTATATTTGTGCATATGTGTGTATATATGTATGTACTATATATATTTTATATATATATATATATATGTACTGCAGTTGAGTCTATTTCTTGACTTTATTTTTGATTCTATTATTTTTCTGTGCATTCCTGCTTCTGTTTTCGTTGTAGTGGATTTGTGCCATGCTTTAATTTTTCATAAGACTAATTGCCTTCATAGATCTTCCTGTCCACTATTTTCCTAGCTATTCTTATGATATCACAGTGTTCAAAAGCCATTAAAAAAGTGAAATGTTATTTTTATTTATAATTGTCCTTAATGACTACATATCTTATGGTCAGTGTTAATTCTTAGAGACCTCACATAGCCTTTCAATCTAAATTAAGCCTGAAATGTCTTAATTTATTACATCTTGTTATTCACAAAGTATATGTCAATGTATATAATTATATGCTTGTTTGTGAAACCATTTACTACGTGTTTTGCATTACCTGCACACTTCTGACCCATTCTCTACTTTTCTCTCATAAACGCTTCATTGCATGTAAGTGACAGAAATTTTAGTTCTGTTAATCCTACTGTACATTTCATTGACTTTTTCCTTCAGTTGGCACTTGGTGATTGTCATCACTTCTGGGTTAGAATCAGAATACAAGGGGCAAATCATGGGAAGTGCCATGCAGAGCTGTAAACTCTTGTTTATCAGCACACATGGAAAACCTACATGTCACTGCAATAAATAATGAAGGAGCTTTGAAGAAGTATAAGGATTCTGCAATAGCAAATGAGTGAACAAGTCAATGAGATGTACAGTAGGATTTACAGAAATAAAATTTCTATCACTTATTTGCAATAAAGCATTCATGAAGGAAAAGTAGAGAATGAGTCCTAAGTTCCTACTGAGTCTATGAATATCCAGGAAGTTAGATGGTAGAGGGCATGGAGGATAAATTGAGCTGTGAATTTTTGAGTTATTGCTATCACCACTGATATCCAATACAGTTCACTACTGTCTGCATCCTTTCCAAATTCAACATGGTTTCTGTCTCCGATACATTTGAAGAATGCAATGCTGTAAAATGAAATCCAGTTTAAAATATCATTAAAAAGGCCAAATTGCAAGAACATAATGGCACTAGAGAAAATAAATCAAACAGAAAAACAAGTGGCTTTGAAGAAATATATTAGTACCAGTATAAACATTAATTTGTCTAGTCATCATTGCAATTAGCAGGTCTTAGCCTTGGCTTGTATAACGTATATATTATCATCCTATTTACTCAGATCTCAATGGAGGGGATTTTCTTCTAAAAAACATATTAGAAGAGTATTCCCTTTGAAAGAAATTAGACGTTATTTCTCAGAATTAAGTGAGTAGATAAAATATATCTTACTTACTTGTTACCGAATTCTACTTAGTGACTTTTATTATTGAAGAAGATTGAGTCTTGATTTCTATTACATGAGAAGGGAAGTTAACAGTTTTTAACACGCATTGTATATTTTAATATTCAAAGTTCACAAAATACTCTACGTGACAAATATTAGCATGTGGCAGAATTAGAAATTGAACAAATCTTGACTTTTTTCAATGTCAATGTCCTCTTCTCTATAAAATATTGTTTGACAAATATTATGGCATAAAATGTTTATGAGTTATCTCACATAGTCTTATTTGTATTTATTAAGTTACTTGAATTCTTGAAAGGGAAGTGCTAGACTTTTCTTTCAGTTATTTCTACTGAATGTGGCAGAGAATTCACAGTTTCTAAATAAATTGACAAACACAAATGAATTAATAGAAATTAATAGATCATAATTTCCTCAAGTAAAAACCTGAAGAGTATATATACAAGTAACCCTAATTAGAAAAGATCAATTAGCAGACAATAAATGGTTTGGGGTCTTAAGCAACATACTAAAATTTTGACAATTTCTACTATTCCAATGAGAGAGATTAAACCATAGTGAAGGATACAGTAATTATGTGGTAAATTTGTATGTTTCACATTACAATTTAAAAAGTGATACAAATAAAATGGCTTCAGAGACTTGGTTGATGATGTCAACAGACCTAGTGTGTTGAAAGATTTCAATAATGCTTATTTTATTTTAGTTTCATGGCATACATCAGATATGCCACTTTAACAATTCAATTAATTAATAATTATTTAGCATTCAGCTATAAAAAGCACAAGCACAGATTCATAATATATAATTTAGACTAATCATCCTATATTCTTCAGTTATTGCATTTCAGGAAAGAGTAATATTATAAGAAACATTAAGGTAGACACTTGAATTAAAATGAGTATTAATTCTATGACAAAGAGTTTTTATTTTTTAAAGTTGTGTTTGTGTGCATATGTGTGTGTCATTTTATCATTTTAGGCTAATACCATTTTGGTAAGAGCTGTTTGTTTGAAGGGTGCTTGGGAGGCCAAGATTTTTTTTTTTAATAATGGAGTAGAGTAACACCAAATTTCAGGCTGAATTCATTACCTACAGTTACATTCTCATAGGTTTTTGACTTAAATTTATTCTTACCACAGGTAATTGTCTTATTTTCCTCATAAGTAAACAGAGCATATTAGAAATGTCTCCTTAATTACATGATAAAATAATTCACAAAGTAGTATGATTGTTTTGACTCTGTTGCCTAGAGAAATAATTTAGTAATTGGTACATTAAAAGATTTAGGAATTTCTTTGAAAACTAATATTGATAGTATAGCTATGTGCTAAATCTAGATGACTGAAAGAACCAGAATTTGCCAATTAAATGGATCATTGTGGACTCTTATCAGTAGCTTGGAACAGTCAAAGTAAATGAGTTACATTACCCATGGACAAGGTAACAGAAGCAATGCATCAGTCAAATCAACGGTGATCAGGTACACTAAAAAACAATCAAATTAATCTGGTAAACTCTGTTGTATTTCAGTTGTTTCAGCTGTGTATATCTTACATTTGCTCTAGAAAGTAGAATTTGCACTGGGAGAATCAGGCTAATTAACTATTAAATACTTTAGGGTACAAAAATTCTAATGCTTCATTTCTTATGATAAAATTTAATAAAGGACAGAAATTAGCACAACATTAATCTATCTAGTGACAGGGATTGAAATATAAATGGGAACTGGAAAAGGTTTCCAACTTGTTATAGACTTCAGAGTTTAGTTCAATATTATTCTCTATTTTTATATTTCTAACCTCAAAATTATATAGCCTCTTGAATTGTTATGACATATTGGATTTATGTATTTATTCCTACATTTACGGATTAGCTTTCTTGGATTTAATATCTCTTGCAAGAATATCTGACACTATATGTAAAACATTATATATAAACAGATACAAATATATAATTGAAAATGAGGGAAGCAGAAGAAGCCCTGGAAGGAGAGTAAAGGTTAACCTTGCCTCAGGATAAGTAACTAAATGACGTTCTGAACCTAGAAAGGTTGGGCAACATGGTAAGACTCTATCTCTACAAAAAAATTAAAAATTAAGCAGGTGTGGTGGCACACACCTGTAGTCCCAGCTACTTGAGAGGCTGAGTGGAGGATTGCTTGTGCCTGGGGGGTTGGGGCTGCAGCGAGCTGCACGCCAGCCTGGGCAACAAAGCGAGACCCTGTCAAAAAAAAAAATCCTAACAGATCCCATGGTGTTTTGATATGAATCCTTTTTTAAATTTTATTTTAGATTCTTATGAGTTATTTTTAGGCTGCCAAACAAATCAGAGTAAGAGAGTTTCTGGAATTATTTTATCTTGTCTTCTCAATGTATTAGACAAGATTTAAACACAAACAATTATTGAGGAATCTTCAATTCTGTAATCTAGCAGAGAGAGGTGGAGTGGGATAAGGGATATTCTAAAAAAGGAAGAATTCCTGATGTAGGGATAACTTTAATAACTAAAAGTGAATTTATGAAGTATTATGTCTTGGTAACAAAAGCAAAATCTAAATCACTACTTATTTATTGTTATAAATGATTACATTTACTTTCCAAAACTGTTAGATTTGAAGATCAATTATATGTCCCAGGTTGTCATATGGTAACCATAAATTTAAATTTTAAATTAATTATAACCCATTTTATGCAAACATAATGGTTGTCACATGACATAATTCATTTCAAATATAATTATGTGACATTTTTATTCAATAATTAACATTAAATGCATATCTTCAAATTAAAAAAAATCAAGGTTAAAATAGATTAGAACAGGCAGAATTCTGCTGAGTTTTGCAATATTCTAATCTAGTGTGATTGGTGCAAAGCATATCTCCAAAATCTTTCATTAATTAATCAGACATTTTACTCTCTCTCACGGAAGAATTTCTAATGTGTTTAGTGACTCCCTCCAAATTTTAAATATGCAGATTTTTGGAAGTCTTATTTTTTTCAAAGAAAAGACTAATTCTGTAATTATTAAGACAAGAAATATATGGTCATTAAAAACATTTCTTATCTTGTCAAGGATACTGATTCAAAAATGTGTTTACCATGATAAGCAGCCAAAAGGGAAGGAAGAATGAAAATAATGAAATAATAATAAGAAAAAATGGGAAAAATGTGAAATATCCAACCTTAATTTTGAAGGAACAGATAACCATTGTACTTACAGAAACTGTAGGCTTTAAGTACATATGACAAATGTAGAGAAACCTGAAAGAGTATGTTTAAAAAGATGGGGAAAAGAAGATACAAAAATCTGATCTTTTCTCTAATAAATTTGTGGTATATATAATCTCACAATGAATTACAGTTAAATCACTTTACTAAACAGGACTTATAATAAAATAAGAAGTAAGTTAAATACTTATATGCATTTCTTCGACTATAGAATGAACACTAGCTGGCATCCACTGCTTTATTCTGCATAATTATATCTTCTCTATTTTTTTAGTACATTCCTTTCTCCATACATCCTCACCAACTCCAAGTCACACAGACATTCTGCTTCTAACATGGCTTAAATGATTTTCTCAATCTAAAATATTCTCCTTTTTTTGCTTTGTCCAAAATTATTCTTTTCCTGCAATGTTAGAATTATATCTCTTCAACCTATCTTCATTTTTTCTTCCCCAAGTCTCAGAAGGACCATTAACCTCTCTTTCACTTAGGTCCTAAAATATCTTAGTATTTTGCACCTATACAATAGTATCCATTTAATTCTGTCTTGGTTTTTAATTAGTTATATACAGAATTTTCTTCTCCTTTTGACTATAAATTTAAACTATATTAAATTATCTATTTTCAAAGTAAGGTATTTGGTTTTATCTTTGTATTACTAACAACACTTACCATCTTGCAATGGTTATGAGGATTATAAAAATAACAATATTAGCTAACATTTTAGTGTAGTGCTTACACCATTCCAGGCACCATTCTAAGGGCCTTACATATTTTCATATCATTTAAAACTTATCTAATACAATTGGCATTATCAGTAGTGAGTTTTAGGTAAAATGTTGTAAATCATATTAGACATCTGCCTTAAAGTATATAGCCCACTTAACAGTTGAGATTTTGTCTGTCATGAAAAGTCAATCTTAAGTGAGATGTATTAGAAGAGACGAACTTTATGTTAGATTAGGATACAGCCTTTAGATAGGGTCAATGCACATCTTGGCCATTACCTAGTTGTGTGAAAGAACCCAAGTTCCTTTAATTTTCTTATTTATATTTCCCTCAATGTGAAAAATGATATTTTTCTAATGGACCTATGAGAAAAGAAATATTATGCATTTAAATAACTTCAAATATGTTAGGTATAGGGTATACATTGCAAAATCCCACCCATTTTTATTGTTGATATTTTTGTTTTTAAATATTAATTTTCTAGAGAGAGCTGAAGGCAACTCTAAGGAAAACTGAGGGGGGAAAAGGAAATGTTTTGACTTGGTCATATTTTTCACATAGAACCACTCTTCTAAGGATATTTTATATATTTTTAAACATTATTTCAGATATGCAGACAAGTATAGTGAAAAATGTAAGATATGTCTGTAAATACTTCACCCAGATTCAGTTTGTCATGGTAAATTTTAGGTAACTATTATAAAAAAGATAGTGCACCTTAAAGACACAATTGAAGCTTCACCCAAAATTATTCCTGTCCCCAGATTTAACTTTGCTTTTTTTTTTTTTTTTTTTGAGACAAGTTCTGGCTGTGTCACCCAGGCTAGACTGCAGTGGCATGCGGTCTTGGCTCACTGCAACTTCCACAGGGGTTCAAGCGATTCTCCTGACTCAGTCTCCCAAGTATCTGGGATTACAGGTGCATGCTACCATACCCAGCTAATTTTTGTACTTTTAGTAGAGACGAGTTTCACCATGTTGGCCAGGCTGGTCTCTACTCCTGACCTCAAGTGATCCTTCTGCCTAGGTCTTGCAAAGTGCTGGGTTACAGGCGTGAGCCACCACGCTCAGCTGGTCCCTCCCCAGATTTAACCCTAAGTTGGTATGTATCCTCTCCCTTGATGTTTTTATGCTTTGACTACATATATAAATATATACAGTGTATGTATAATTCTATGATTTAAAAAACAATTTCTTTAACTAGGAGTGAAATGTGTGTTCACAAGACTAAGTTTCAAATGGCTGTTTAAATTCAGTTAAATAACATACTCTCCATCAGTGTATGAAAACCACTGATTTCCCGCAAGTTCTACAATATTTGGTAAGAAAAATTAATTTTGTCAATATATTGATTATAAAATTTTATCTCATTTCAGCAATAAATTCAATTTATCTTTCAGATTCCCTTTGCCTTTTGTCGTTCTTTTCTGTAATTGTCTGTTGATATTTTATGCTGATGTTTCTATGTTTTCGATTTTGCACTGGTTATACTAGGTTTTTATATGTCTTTATACACCAACCTTTGTCAGTATGTAAGAATGTTTTCATAGTTTGTAAACTTTGTCTTTATTAACTTCATTTAGAATGCTAGTAACTTGACTTCTTGTTTTGATAAAACAAATTCAACAAGCCAGAGGAAGAACTGCTACACTTACTTTCCAACAAATGCATTAGCCTACCTTACCCACCTGCATCTATCACTCTATGTTTCCTTTATCTTCTGTTTTAATCAATGCCCTATGTGTATTCCCATGGAATGTCAACAATTTCCCTTGTGGACTAAATCCTGTTCCCTCCTCAGCTCCAAAGAAGATAAAAGGATAAACTTCAGGAGTGACCCTCCTTCTCTAGGAGTGACTCTTCTTCTCTAGGGTCACTCCTGAAGTTGCTCCTTTTATCTTCTTTGCTTTCTACCTTATCAGTGTTTCCATTCTACTGGACTATTACTATCAGCACAAAAACTTTATTAAATGAGTTTTTTCTTGATCATGTGTTTTCTTTCAGTTATCACCATATTTCTAAGTTCCCTTTTGTACCAAAATAATTTGAACTAATTACTTGTATTTAGGGTCTGTGCTTCTGCATATGATTTTTTTTTCTCAACAGACTCTAAAATCCACCATTCTTAAATAATACTTATCTTGGTTACTGGAAATCTTAATTTTGTCATACTGATGAACAAGTCTGTCTTCATTTTTACTTCATATCTATACACTTTTTGACAGTTTTGATTTTTTTTCTTCTTGAAACATAAATGTATTATCTGGGTTATCTTGGTTATTCACCAGCAGTTCTTATTTAAAAAGCATACTCTCATCCTTTCCGTTTTAAATATTGGAGTAATTTCTCTTTTATTCTCTAACTACACAGCTGACTTATGATTTTTGGTACCATACCACATTGATCATTTCAAATTTTTTATTTCAGTCTTTGAGTGTAGACTCATACATTCAGCTGTCTTTATAACATCTCCACTTGGATGTCTAATAAGCATTTCAAATGTACCTCATTCAAGAATAAATCCTTGATTGTTCTGTCTCAAAGTTACTCCTTCACAAATTTACATCAACTGAATAAATTCACCATGATTCCTCCAATTGCTGAGGCTGTAAACAGAATTTAACTTTAATTTTTTTCCTCACAATCTACATGCAATTAATTTACAGTAATTAGTTTAATTGGCCCTCCTTTAAAAATTTATCCTAAACCTAATACTCATTTGTTATCTCCACATCCTAGCCAAGGTACAGTATTCTCTCTGCTTGACAACTGCAATGTTCTCTATACTAGTCTCCCTGATGCCATACTTTGCTCTAGTTGTTGATTCTCCAACCAGGGTAACATTGTTATTTTTATTTTACAATTTATTTTAAATTCAGGGGTACATGTTCAGGTTTGTTATATAGGTAAACTTATGTCATGGGGGTTTGTTGTGCAGATTATTTCATCACTCAGTATCAAGCCGAGGACCCATTAGTTATTTTTCCTGATTCTCTCCCTCTTGCAACCTTACACCCTCTGATAGGCTGTAGTGTGTGTTGTTCCCCTCTGTGTATTTACATTTTCTCATCATTTAGCTCCCACTTATAAGTAGAACATGTGGTATGTGGTTTTCTGTTCCTACATTAGTTTCCTAATGGCAATGCCCTTCAACTCCATCCATGTTCCTGCATAGGCCATAATCTCATTCTTTTTTATGGCTGCATAATATTCCATGGTGTGTATGTTACACATTTTCTTTCTTCAGTCTACCATTGATGGGCATTTAGGTTGATTTCATGTCTTTGTTACTGTGAATAGTACTACATTGAACACATGAATGCATGTGTCTTTATGATAAAACAATGTATATTTCTTTGGGTGTATACCCAGTAATGGGATTGCTGGGTCAAATGGTAGTTCCCTTCTTAGGTCATTGAGGAATTGCCACAGTGTATTCCACAATGGTTGAACAAATTTATACTCCCACCAACAGTGTATAAGTGTTCCTTTTTGTCCACAATATAACCAGCATCTTTTATTAATATTTTTTGACTTTTAAGTAATAGTCATTCTGACTGGTATGAGATGGTATCTCATTGTGGTTTAGATTTACATTTAAGTGATCAGTGATGTTGAGCTGTTTTTCCTATGATTGTTTGCCGTATATATGCCTTTTTTTGAAAAGTGTCTGAGTCTTTTGCTCCTTTACCCATCATTTATTTATTTATTATTTATTTATTTATTTTTTGAGATGGAGTCTTGCTCTTGTCATCCAGGCTGGAGTACAACAGTACAATCATGGCTCACTGCAACCTTTGCCTCCCCTGCCTCAGCCTTTCAAGCAGCTGGGATTACAGGCGCCCACCACCATGCCTGGCTAATTTTTGTATTTTTAGTAGAGACAGGGTTTCACTATGTAGGCCAGGCTGGTCTCGAACTCCAGAGCTCAGGTGATCCGCCCACCTCGGCCTCCCAAAGTCCTGGGATTACAGGCGTGAGCCACCGTGCCTGGCCCTTTTGCCCACTTTTTGAGGGTGTTATTTGTTTTTATTTTTTCCTTGTAAGTTTAAGCTTCTTATAGATGTTGTATATTAGACTTTCATCAGATACATAGTTTGCAAATATTTTATCCCATTCTGTAGGTTGTCTATTCACTATTCACTCTGTTGATAGTTTCTTTTGCTGTGTGGAAGCTCTTTAGTTTGGTGAGATTCCATTTCTCAATTTTTGCTTTTGTAACAATTGCTTTTGGCATCTTTGTCATGAAATCGTTGCCCATTTCTATGTCGAGAATAGCATTGCCTAGGTTGTCTTCCAAAAGTTTTGTAGTTTGGGTTTTACATTTAAATCTTTAATCCATTTTGAGTTAGCTTCTGTATATGATGTAAGAAAGGGATCCTGTTTCAATCTTCTATATAGGGCTAGCTAGTTATTCCAGCACCATTTATTGAATAGTGAGGTCATTCCCCATTGCTTGTTTCTGTCAACTTGCTCAAAGATCAAATCACTTCAGGTGTGTGACCTTATTTCTGGATTCTTCATGCAGTTATATTGTTCTATGTTTCTGTTTTTGTACTGGTACTGAGAGGTGACAACCTGCTAGCAGCCCTCACTCGCTCTCAGCGTCTTGTCGGCCTCGTCCGCTCTGGCCACACTGGAGGAGCCCTTCAGCCCGCCACTGCGCTATGAGGGCCACTCTCTAGGGCTGGCCAAGACCGGAGCTGGCTCCCTCTGCTCACGGGGAGGTGTGGAGGGAGAGGCGCGTGTGGGAGCCGGGGCTGCGCGCGGCACTCGCGGGCTGGCATGGGTTCTGGTTGGGCGTGGCCGGCAGGCACCTGCTGGGCTTGATCTGGGAACAAGCTCCCTCTGGGCTGCTGGAGTGCCTGCACTAGGTGCCACAAAGTCCCTCAGCCATTGCCATTGAGAGGTGAAGCGGGCTGGGCTTCTGGGTCATGTGGGGACCTGGAGAACTTTTGGGTCTAGCTAAAGGATTGTAAATGCACCTATCAGCGCTCTGTGCCTAGCTAAAGCTTTGTAAACACACCAATCAGCACTCTGTCAAAACAGACCGATCAGCTCTCTGTAAAATGGACAAATCAGCTCTCTGTAAAATGGACCAATCAATAGGATGTGAGTAGGGCCAGATAAGGGAATAAAAGCAGGCCACTGGAGCCAGCAGTAGCAAGCTGCTTGGGTCTCCTTCCAAGCTGTGGAAGCTTTGTTCTCTCACTTTTTGCAATAAATCTTGCTGCTGCTCATGCTTTGGGTTCCTGCTGCCTTTATGAGCTGTAACACTCACCAGGAAGGTCTGCAGCTTCACTCCTGAAGCCAGCGAGACCACAAGCCCACAGGGGGAGGGGGTGGACGGGAGGAACGAAAAACTCCAGACGTGCCACCTTAATGAAATATAACACTCACCGCGAAGGTCTGCGGCTTTACCCCTGAGGCCAGCAAGACCAGGACCCCACCGGAAGGAACAAACAACTCCTGAGGCGCTGCCTTCTAAGAGCTGTAACACTCACTGCCACACTCACTGCGAAGGTCTGCAGCTTCACGCCTGAAGTCAGCGAGACCACGAACCCCGCAGAAGGAAGAAACTCCAGACACATCTTAACATATGAAGGAACAACCTCCAGACACACCATCTTTAAGAACTGTAACACTCACCGCGACGGTCCACAGCGTCGTTCTGGAAGTCAGTGAGTCCAAGAACCCACCAATTCCGGACACAGCACTATGCTGTCTTGGTTACTGTAGCCCTGCAGCATAGTTTGATGTTGGGTAGCATTATACACTTAGCTTTGTCCTGTTTGCTTGGGATTGCGTTTTCTATTCAGGCTCTTAGTTCCATATGAATTTTAAAACAGCTTTTTCTAGTTCTGTGAAGACTCTCAATGGTAGTTTAATATGAGCAGCATTGAATCTATAAGTTGCTTTGGGCTGTACGGCCATTTTAATTATATTGATTCTTCTTATCCATGAGCATGAAATGTTTTTTTGTGTGTTTGTATCATCTCTGATTTTCTGAGCAGTGCTTTGTCGTTCTCCTTGTAGAGATTTTTTACCTCTGTGGTTAGCTGTATTTCTAGATATTTTATTATTTTCATGGCAATTGTGACTGGGGTTGCATTCCTGATTTGGCTCTTGTTTTGACTGCTGTTTATGTATAGGACTGATAATGATTTTTGTGCATTGATTTTGTATCCTGAGACTTTGCTGAAGTTCTTTGTCAACTTAAGGAGCTTTTGGGCTGAGACTGGCTTTTTCTAGATATAGAATTATGTCATCTACAAAAAGGGATAGTTTAACTTCCTCTCTTCCTATTTGGATGCTTTTTATTACTTTCCCCTGCCTGATTACTCTGGCCAGGACTTCCAATGCTACGTTGAATACGAGTGGTGAGAAAGGGCATCCTTGTCTTGTGCCAGTTTTCAAGAGAAAGGCTTCCAGCTTTTGTCCATTCAGGAAAATGTGGGATATGGGTTTGTCATCGATGGCTTTTATTTAGAAGTATGTTCCGTCAATACCTAGTTTTTAACATGAAGCGGTGTTAAATTTTATCGAATGCCTTTTCTGCGTCTATTGAGATAGTGTGGTTTTTGTCTTTAGTTCTGTTTATGTGATGAATCACATATTGATTTGTGTATGTCGAGCCAACCTTGCATCCCAGGGATAAAGCCTACTTGATCATAGTGGATACGCTTTTTAATGTTGCACTGGATTCTGCTTGCCATCATTTTGTTGAGGACTTTTGCATTGGTGGTTATCAATGCACTATTGGCATGAAGTTTTTTTTTTTTTGTTGTTGTTGTTGTTGTTGTTGTGTCTCTATCAGGAAATAACCAAAATCAGAGCTGAACTGTAGGAGATTGACACATGAAAAACCATTCAAAAGAGGAATCAATGCAGGAACTTGTTTTTTGAAAAAAATTAATAAGATAGCTAAACTAATAAAGACGAAAAGAGAGAAGATCCAAATAAACACAATCAGAAACAACCCGGGGATATTACCACTGATCTCACATAAATACAAATAACCATCAGAGAATAGTATGAACATCTCTATGCATATGAATTATAAAATGTAGAAGAAATGAAATAATCGCTGGACACATACATTCTCCCAAGACTGAACCAATGAGAAATTGAATCTCTGAACATACCAATGACAAGCTTTGAAATTAAATCAGTAATAAATAGTCTAACAACCAAAAAGAAGAGCTAGTATTATTCCTACTGAAACTATTCCAAAGAATTGAGGAGGAGGGATTCCTCCCTAACTTATTCTGTGAGGCCAACATCATCCTGATACCAGAATAATATTTTTAATGGGAAGCAGATCATGTGATTCGCTTACACAGAACTTTGCAAAGTTTTCTCATGACAACTGAGATAAAACCCAAGGTCATTATCATGATTTTTAAGAGTTATATCTCAAGGTATCCCATGCTTTACCTAATGTTTTAATTACTATGGCTAAAATATTTCTTGCTATTCATGTGAATGCTCATGCTTATATTTCTTACTCCAATTATCCTGTATATTTTTGTTCCCTTACCCCTACACATGCGTTTTTGAAACATGTTGCTCAGGTACACAAAACTTCTCTTGGAATTTTGATTGGAACTTAATTGAGTTTCAGACAATCTTTTATGTTTTTCTGGTATACATGCTTCGATTTATCAATATAATATAAAATATAGGAAACCGCATTTAAGAAGAAAAAGATTGATTAATATAAAAGTATAAAATAAGAAAAATTTTAAAGAAGAGTATAAAACTAAATGAAAAATATAAAAGATTATGAAAAGATATTAAAAATGAAATTTTAACTTTAGCAAATATGAATTAAAATTTATAAGCAATGGAGATAAAATGTCCTTTAAACAAGGCAAATATTAGTACTACAATGTAAAACTAAAAATGTGCCATTAGTAAATAATTGTTTATGCATGTAGATAAAATGAGAAATCGAAAACTAGAAAATGAAAAAGATTCTAATAAGGAACATATAAATTTAATATGTGCAATGAGGACTAAGATAAAAAGAATATAAAATAAAACGTCAGATTTTAAAAATTATAAAACAAAGTTAAGAAAAATATATACATATATTTATTTATCATAGAATAAGAAAATCATAAAATGTTCTAACTGCTGCGGAATGATCACCAGATCACTGCAGAAAATAAAAAGAAAACCTTAGTGATGCTAATGATAAGTACATTTTGTATTGGTCTTTTATTAACGGCATTTTCTTGACATAATTTCATATAGGTTCATCCTCAGTTTCAGAGTGGAAAGATTATTGATAGGGAGCTAGCTGCAGTGTTCCACACCTGCATCCACTGTGCAGTCCCCACATTCAGCAGGGAACTCTCAGCAACACCATGGCTTTTCTGAAGCCTGAGGCACACACAGCCTGGATGCTGCTAGCTCCACTGCCAGCAGTTAATTAGTATTCCTGCAACTATCCAGATTTTAAGTTGTGAATAAACATATTTAGAAAAAAAGTTGTGTAAAGTGTAATTCTATTTACATTACTATAATAATAAATTTAAATTGGAATTTGGGAAAATGCAGAGATAATGTGACTTGTTAGAAACAAAGTTAATTGAAGCTGATAGTTCATGAAATTGAGTAGGGTTCTTGAAGGTCTGCAACTAGAAAGAAGAGGACACTAGGTCAACAAAAGTCATGGAGAGTGAGGCGACAAGTACATAATGAAAGAGGCAGATAGTAGAGAAGCAGAAAATAACAGGTATATGGAGACTAATTGAGTCAAGATTAATAATAAACTGACTCCTTTTGAGGTTGTTAGCATTGCTAGTGGTCCTAGGTATAAGGCCTCTGATATATAACACTTTTTATTTAATTTCCTTGGGGTTATGTCTTTTGCCATATGTATATTTATACCAAATGTTCATTATTTGAACCAGTCTAAATTGCTTCTTCCTTATAAACTATTACGTTAAATTTTTAAAAGCCCTAAAGAAACTGAATGAAATTGTCTTTGAATAAAATTAAAAAAAAGTGAAGAATCATAAATCAAAAGAATCATCATTTGGCCATGATTGGGATTAATGAAATAATAATAAACAGAGTCAAAGTGCATTTCTGGTCAATATATTGACCAAACAATAGGAACAATATTATTTTGTAAAAGGAGACAATATTTATATAATTTTATAAGAATATGAATAAAATATTGTTTGTTGTTTGCTTTATAATTTTATTTTAAAAGTAATTTTAATTTTAATAATTAAATGCAGACTTTTGCCAAACAAGGCAAATGATGCTATGACTGCAATTTTTAAACAAAAAGTGGTTTATAATACAATAAGAAAAACGGCATAGAAAATACATTTATTATGTAAAAGCTGAATATTTGATTTTATTGAGATGCAGAAAATCTACAAAAACTGTGTATGGATTTGCACACATCTGCATTTTCCTTGAGCTTTTATAAATACAAATCCCTTTTGCTAAAAAGTTCATCTTTTAGGCTGTGATTAACTTCTCTAGTTATTAAGTTAAGCTTCTTTTCTTAATTATTGCTATCTAAATCTCTCTTCAAGGTCTCCTTTACAATAGTCTCAACTTATATGTGTTTTCCTCTGATTTTTCATGTGTTTCAGTTATACTTGACTTTTAATACTTTTTCAGACTTACATTGTGTGTTCTTTACATTATGTTTTTTTCCTCCAGTAATAACTACTTTTTATTCTATTGTTTAAATCATACCATTTTTATTTTTAATTAGGTAGAAAACACAGACAAGCAATACATTCTCATTGCAAATAACAAAATAGTAAAAGAAAAAGTTAAATCAGGATTATAGTAGAAGTGAGTAGCAGCATAATTGATAATGTAAATATAGTAGGGAATAATGGAAGCCGTAAGAATAAAATTAGAATTATTGCTATCCTTTGAATGGACAGAGTAATATGTATTATATGCATTCCACTTTCCACTTCCTCCAGGTGTCCACACTGAAACCTGCAAGTTGTGACTAGAATCACTTTAGGTCCACAAGGAAAGTAACTCCCAGTTAATCTGATTAACAATTAATACTACTGGGTTAATAAAGCTCTGAGAATTTTTAATAAGGGAACTTCTGAATTAATTATTTTTTAAAAAATGTGTGGTTACATAGTAGGTGTGTATGAATATGTATGTATAGGTGTATATAGCTATACATATACATACATATATGGGGTATATGAGGTGTTTTGATACAGGCATGCAATGTGAAATAAGCGCATCATGGAGAATGGGGTACTCATCGCCTCAAGTATTTATCTTTTGAGTTACAAACAATCTAATTACACTATTTAAGTCATTTTAAAATGTACGATTCCATTATTATTGACTATAGCCACCCTGTGATGCTATAAAATAGTAGGTCTTATTCATTCTTTCTATTTTTTTGATACCCATTAACCATCCCCACCTCCCCCACCAACTCCCACTACCCTTCTGAGCCTCTGGTAACCATCCTTCTACTTTCTATGAGTTTGGTTGTTTTAACTTAGATCCCACAAATAAGTGAGAACATGTGATGTTTGTTGCTGAAAATATTATGCCTAAGTTTTACATAACAAGACTTTCAATGTAAAAAAGCTATGTAGTTCTGGACAATTCATGATATATTACAAAGTTATGTAAGAATCACACTCAATGTATTCTTAATAAACTCGTCTTTGAAGGAAGTAAGAAAACTAGGAAGATATTAATAACATTGTTTTGATTATTATAATTTAATACATAATAAAAATGGTCAAAGTACATTTCTGATCAAAGTACAAAAAGAAAACATGGATATGTTATTCTAGGGATATGAATTTTAAAAATTCTGTAATTTGCTTTCTAATTTTAAAGAAAAAATTGTATATTTCATATATGGTGATTTATATATTTTACATGTGTATATATATATATATATACGTGTGTGTGTGTGTGTATAGCTTGTTTATACATTCTCACACAGATTTTTACACAGGAGGGATATTTATTCTTAGTTCCTTCCGTCTCTGCAATTTCTGACTAAACTCACTTGTTTATTGCCTAGGCATTAGGTAAGCCACTTTTTGGAGCAATGACATTTTTCCTTCTGCTGATGCTCTTTTTACCAACCTTCATGCTTAGCTGTCTGGAATCTTTGTCTTTCACCTAAGTCCTCTCTACAAAGCTCCTTGCTGCTTCTCTATAATTGAGCTTGATCACACAGAGCATCCTTATCCTCCTGGCTTTGCACCACCTAATGCTTCTAGGCTTCTTCCCAATTTTTCATTAGCTTAGAAGGAATATGGAGAAATCCATTTCTTTAACTAAAATAATAGTCAACAGGAAATAGTTTTCTAGATTTTTTTTTTTTAGCACTAGAGATTAGTTTTATCTATTCCAGGTGGGTTTTCTTGAATACGTTTACCTCCTCATATTTTCATAATTCTATTTTTTATTATTAAGTTTTATGTAGCTTTTAAATAGGAAGATGAAAATAAGTAAAAACCACACATTTTCAGATAGTCAAGCTAGAGTTTGTTATTCAAAGTAGATTTGAGTACTTTGATTTGTAGGAAGTCTTAATAAATCACTAAAACGGGTAGTTTAAAATCCAGAAGAAATTTAAATTGTTAAAATGCAGACACTAAAAGTCACTAGGGTAACTTTACTCCATACGTAATTAAATAAACGTCATTACATCACTATCCCTAAGCATCTGTCTCCTGTACACCTAAGAAAACCAAGTTTACAGTGTTTTATTTATATAGAGGATTGAATTCTGAAAAGTTATTTTGATAAGATATTAAAATGCTGGCCGGGCACCGTGTTTCACGTCTGTAGTCCCAGCACTTTGGGAGGCCAAGGCGGGCGGATCACCTGAGGTCAGGAGTTCTAGACCAGTCCGACCAACATGGTGAAACTATGTCTCCACTAAAAAATACAAAAAATTAGCCGGGCATGGTGGTGCATGCCTGTAATCCCAGCTACTCGGGAGGCTGAGGCAGAAGAATCGCTTGAACCTGGGAGGTAGAGGTTGCAGTGAGCCGAGATAGCGCCATTGCACTCCAGCCTGGGCAACAAGAGCAAAACTCAGTCTCAAAAAAAAAAAAAAAAAAAAGATATTAAAATGCTGAAATTTGGGGGACAACCAGAGCAATAACTAATGAAATATCTCTGGGCGGATCCCAATAAATCTAAATCTATAACTTAAATTGTTCAAATTACACATGGTAAAATACATTTCTAAATTTATTAGAAATGATAGCAAATGAATACATGTGAAGTTTATTTATTTATTCATTTTGACACAGGTTCTCACTCTGTTGCCCAGGTTAGAGTGCAGTGGCAGGATCATGGTTCACTGAACCCTCGATGTCCTGGGCTCAAGCAAGTCTCCTACCTCAGTCTCTCAAGTAGCTGGGACTAGAGGCATTCACCACCACACAATTTTTTATTTTCTGTTGCGACAGGATTTCACGAACTGCCTAGGCTGGTCTTGAAATCTGGGGCTCAAGAGATCCTCCTGCCTCGGCTTCCCAAACTGCTGGGATAGAAGATGTGAACTACCGAGACTGGCCAAGATGCAAAGTTTAGATGTGGTATACTTGTATTAAGCACCAAACGACCCCAATCTTCTCACCTTACGTTTCTGAATAGTTCTTTCAGATTTTTAAATGTCACAGTGACTGAAGATATGTTGACACACAAATTTGTGGAAGAGTTTCTGATATATATTTACAAACTTTTTTTTCCAGAATCTGTTAATTTTGGTGTCTTTTTGTCCCTTTGAGATACACACACACACACACACACACACACACACACAGTGTTTTGCTCAAATTTTGCAACTCTGCTCAATCAGCAACCTTATTTGAATACTGTTTTGCCCTGCTTTGGAAAAAAGTAGACAGTGATGCTGCCTCCACATCACTACACCCTTAAGATTACTGTACCCATTTACTACTAGTCATGGCTCACATTTACTCATTTCTCATTATGTGGGAGTGCATACTGCATATGTTATCTCATTTAATTTCTACACCACCCAAGGGAGTTAATATTTATTCTCTTAATTCACAAGAAGTAACTTAACATTTAGAAAAGTTAGGCAACCTGCTATCAACAGCTAGCGCCTGAAAAAGTTGAGATTTAAACCCAGATACTCTGACCTCAAAGTGTCTCCTCTTATCTTTACTTATTAAACCACAGGCTTAATAAGTAATTAATTAGTTAATAAGTCAAAATAAAAAATAACTTTCATTCAATATATATACTCTTCTTTCAACCTCAGCTTCTTTAATGAATATTAATTTATTGAAACAATCCTAGTCATGTTAGAAAGCAGTAGGACCCAGAAAGGCAGGAAGTAACATTTTTAAAGGTAGATTCAGATGAAAAATATTTGATATCTAAATCCTTTTTTAATTCAAAATTAAAAAGTAAGATTTGTGAAAGAAATCTAATATTAAAATTTTGGCTACTTACATTAATTAGAGATAAATATCAATAAGATAAAGTTATTGCTAACTTTAATACTGAAATATTCTAAATTTATCAGTTCTCATCTTGAGTAGCTTTGTGTTCTAAATAAAAAAATGAAAGTTTTTGTAACTAAGAATCTAAGATTTGTTCTACATTCCTATATTTGAAAGAACCTCAACTCTGAAACTATTCAGAGGTGGGTTTAATTCATTGCCCTGAAACTTTTTAATTGAATTATTTATAAAATGAAGAAAAATAATAACATTATGGTTGTAGGCATTTATGATGTACACAAAAAACAGTAAACCTTCTGACAAATTTTTGCTAGATGATTACTAAATATTACTGTCTGTTAAAAACATCTTCCCTCTTCTTCTGTTCCAAAAAGAATAAACCAAGGTAAATGTGTCTGAATCAGTCCACAATATATTCTGTTAACATACTCATTTGTTATAAAGTCATTTAACCAAGACATTTATTGATTTATTGGTATCTCACTCTTTGCATAATGATGCTGTATCAATGAGATATAGGTAGATGGACTCTTGATGGTGAGTAACATGTCTCTGACATTTTAAAATATTTGAGTAAGATAAAGTTTTCTAAAATTCTATGAGAACATGCAGCTAACAATATAAAACATTTTTCATTGTTTTATTGAAATAAATGTCCAATAAATGTAATCTTAATAAAACATCTCCTTTATAGGACTATTTTTGGAAAAGAAAAGATTAAACTTAAAAATGTTTGGAAAAATATTAGAAGGATGCCTTTTACTAGCTATCACATAGTTAAAGATAGACTATTTAAAATAAATGTGAAAAATTAAAAGAAATATTATTCAATCTGAGAGTAATATGCAGTAATTAAAATAATCAAAATAACTCAGAATCGATACAATTCAGTTTCAAGTAAAATATGTATACCTAAGTGTGAACATTTTATGTGCAATACAGTTTTAAAGTAAAATGGAATATTTGTCAATTTAAAATGCTGGGATAGTTGGCTCCGTTTGGAGGTCAAAGAATTAGATAACTATCAAGCAAAACACACCAGAAATATGTGTTATATTTAAAAGTTATTTTGTTTCTAAAAATAAACCAATAAATTAAAAAATTTAAAAGTGGATAAAGTGAGCATGTTATGTAGGAAAAACATTTATCAACTCTAGAGCTAAGCTAGAAACCACTTTGAAGAATATTGACTCAAGTTCTAAATATTATTCCCCAAAAAAATCATTATAAGCAACATTAAAAGAGGGAAGACAAAATAAATTGACATATACATGTCTTTTTATTACTATGTGCAAAAGGAAAATTAGTGTCTTCAATGAATGAGGTTGGGAAAATTGAACATTCATTCACAGGCAAAACAATAAAATTGAACCCTTATATTCCATCACATACAAAAATTAATTCAAAATAGGTTAAATATTTAAATGGAAAGAAAACATAGAAAGCTCCTAGATATTGGTCTTTACAATGCTTATTATTTGTTTTGTTATGGCATTAAATCACTGGCAACAAAACAAAAGTAAACAAGAGGGACTACATCAAACTAATACACTCTGTATGAAATGGGAATAATGCAGGGTGGTTGCAGGAGAATAGAAAATTTCAGGCAGCAGTTTCACATGGCTAGCAAAAGGAAACTCTTGAAATAGCTGCATAAGCTAGGGACTGATAAGTCCCTGAAAATAAGCTGGACCCAACGTGGCACTGGATTTGAGCTGGGTTTCACCTACAACCTCATTATGCACTTATCAGCATACTAAATCCCACATTTTCCAGCACCATGACAGTTCCTAGAACATCTGTATTTGGTGTAGAAATAGGTGGTGCCACAGTTTTGAGAAATCCTCGCCTTTTTCCAGCAGAAATTGAAACAAAAAAATCAGATTAGATTGGATATTTGATTAATAAGAAAATACTGTCTTTGAAATGGTGTTCCTAAAGATTAGGGCAAAGACAGTTCAGATACAAAGATGGCAGAGGTTCTGAAGATCAATATGAGCCTTTGTCAGAGTTACAATCAACAGTTTACAAAGCAGAAAGGTGACAGAGCTAAGACTTATAAAGTGTAGAGTGTAGAAGAGAGAGAGAGAGAGAGAGAGAGAGAGATGTGATCTAGCAAAGAAGAAAGATCAGGTGAAGTATCTATGGGACTTTCTGTCTCTATCACCGTACTTCCTTTAGCAAAGGATTTAAAAGTTATAGGGGGACTGTTAAACCAGCAATGCTAGTCAAAGGACAATTCATTAAACAAGGGAAATCATCAGTGAGTTATCAATGTCATTATCTCTGACTCCTGGAGCACCAGATAAGGAGGACTTGCAAAAAGATTTGTTGGGGATAAGGCCCTGTGAGGGGCCTGATTCTTCATTAGTCCTAGGCACAGTCACTATTTTGATCCAGAGATGTTTTAAAAAGTAAATACATTGATAAAAAGAGAAGTCTGAAAAGACCTGCAGCAGCAAGCAGTATTCTAAGCTACCATGGAACAGTGGAAATCAAACACTCGGAAGGTGAGACAAGTTTTTTTCTTTTTGTTTTCTTTTTGTTTTGTGAGGAACTTCTAGATTGCTAAGTGAAGGTTGTAGAAAATCAGTTGAATTCCACTGACTGGAAAGCATTAAGTAAGTTTTATTTTCTGAAGAGACCAAACATGGCTGTGTAAGTGACAGTAGAATGATATGGAAATGGGACAAAATAGAGTCTTCAAGTAATATTTTCTCTCCTGCCTGAATTAAGATGTTGATTGCAAGTCTAGTATTGCCCTGCCACCAATACAAATCTGCAGCAGTTATTAATAAATTTATTTTGCTATTTCGGTTGAGGGAAGGGTTCATGTGAAATAATTTTTTTGACCGTGTTTAAACGAAAGCCAAGGAAAAACCCCAATTAAAAACTGACTGCTATTTTAGCATCTTGCATCTTACCTACAAAATTAACCATGGGTACATCGATGTTTCTTCTCTTTGGTTATTATGCAATTAACACAGAACAAAAAAGAAAGCATGGCATGATGTAGCCTAGGTAATACTTTGGATATCTCAAAAACATTTACAATGATAAATTACTATTATTTGTGTTAATTTGTGGTATAAATTTTTCTGGATTTAGGACCAAAATGTTTAGAAATTATTTGTAAAAGTGCATAAAATAATAGTGATAAACCTAATGCATTGTGAAAACTGGGCATGTGAAACCAACTCTATATGGTGATACATATGTCACATGAACTACTGAAATGGAACCTATTAAATTGTTTTAATTGAGCTTTCAGTGTCAAAGTTTACAATTTGGTAGTATTTGCTGGCATTGGTAATTGGATGTTTACAGTAGGATAAATGCAATTCTAGGAAAATTGAATATCTTTTCATCATAAGAACTTTAAATAATGGGACCTTAACACCAAAGCTACTTTGGAAAAAAGATAAATTAGGACACTAGGGCCCAAGAAATTACAGGACTTAAGAAAATTTTGGCTGAAACATTAACATTACATATTTATCCACTGATATTGTCTCTTTCATTTTTTTTCATTTTTCAAGAATAAAATACATTATTAACTAGAGTCACTATGTTGTACGATAGACATCTTGAGCTTATTTTTCTAACTGGAAATTTGTATTCATTGATAAATATCTGTCTAACTCCTATGCCCAGCCACCCCAGCCCATGGAACCTCCATACTACTCTCTACTTCTGCAAGATCATCTTTTTACAGTTCCACATACGAGTGAAATAATGCAACATTTGTCTTTCTCTGCCTCGATTATTTCACTTAACATAACGTCCTCCAGGTTCATCTATGCTGTCACAAATGATAGGACTTCATTCTTTGATATGGCTGAATAGTAGTCCATCACTTATATTTACTACATTTTTCTTACCCATTTGTCCATTGGTGGACATTGCTATATTCTTATTGTGTGCGATTCTATCTGAATTACTAGGTATCCTGGCATGTGCATTTTAATGTTAACTGCAAGATAAGTAAGAATTTTTATTCTTCTCAGAAAGTTGATGCTCACATTAAAACAACAAGATAAAGGATCAGAAATTGAAAACTAGGGACAAAGTACAGGATGTAAGAGCCGAGGGGCAAAAAGATTAACTAAATCTGAGAAACATAATTTGAAGTTATTTTTAGTGTTATTTTAATACATGTAAGGATATCAAAGACAGTAGAAAAGAGGGAAAATTAAGAGATAATTACTCTCCTCTCAGGCTGAATATCACAGACATGAGTTAGGAATAACAGCTGATTATTTACATGTTAAAGAAAAGATACAGGTTTTTTTGCTCCATGCCTATACTGATTGAAGAAATTCCTACCCTGAGATAAAGTATTTCGTAAAGAAGTTTACTTAGAAGCCTCTGTAAGTTAATCTTTGAGGAAGTGGATGAGGCTGGATTGGGAAGAGCAAGAAGCTAACCAGTAACGTGGTTGCCCGTGAGACCTCAGCCAATCACATAGGGAGCTTGGGAGCTAGGCTGGCCTTTCTCGGTTGTCTCAAATTGAAGTAAGGCTGCTGCTTTGAATTTCTGCATCATGGAAAACTAATTGGCTACAGGGTGAAAATGCAACTTTGGGCTAGATATATCCCTTTGGCCAAAGCAATTTCAATTGACATTTGAAGCTATAATCCATTAGTGGCCAAATTTTTTAGCAGCTAGTGGATATATTTGCCCTGAAGTAGGATTGGACAGAACACAGCCATATTTGCTGCAGGAAATAAGTTATGTGAGGAGGTGATAAATCTTTCAGAGAGAGATGAAGCAGGGCAAAAGTCTCTTCTGACTGAAAGGGTCAGATTGTGGCAGAATGAGATTCAAGTACAAAATGGTTTTATGACACATACACTTTTTGAATGCTGGGCGTAAGTATTTTTTTTCAAGGAGACACTAACATAATGTTATTTATCACAGAATAGTTCCCAGTATACAGTTTTACTGCTAATCTATAATTGTTTGTTACAATACTCACAATTTGTTAATTAAAAATAATACCCAATGAAATACTCAGGGCACAGTTTCTTAAATTGGATATGGCATTTTCTTTCACACCACTTTTTTAAACATTTCCGAGAGGTCTGCACTTCCTGGTGTGTAACTCAATTCTTGCATTTTTTCCAATGAGCTTCCATAAGAATTTTTCTGAAAGGGAAGTATAACACGAAGTTGAAAATACGGTTTTTGCAGTTAGAATTTTTTTGAATTCCAGATTTCCAACTTGACATTGGGCAGGAACTTAAACATTTAAGCCTCCATGTTTTTTTTTTCTTTGTAAATCTTTTTTCTTTGTAAATCAGAGTGATCTTGTTAATGATAAAAAAAAAGTATAACTATGTTAAGTGCTTAGCATAGGACATGACACACAATAACCGTTCATTAAACTGTATATTTATAGTATTATTCGTGATTTAAGTAGAAACAGCTGTAGCAGTAACAACATTGCCCTGATTCACTCTTGAGCAAGCTCTTCCAGCAGAACTCACTGTTTCTATTAACTTTATGCGAATAAGTTTACCACAAAAGGACTGAATTAAACTGATCAACCATATATAGTTTTAGAATTTTGCCTAGTGCACAATTATACAGTGCTACAAATCACCAACATGTTTTACACCTGTTTCTATGAGCTCAGTAGATTCTTAGTTACGCATACATGTTTATAAATAGTTAATTTAGTAATTTAATTTAATTGTACTATGAACTCATTAAAAATACCAAAATGTAGTACCAGTTATCGGAAATTTTTAGAACAAATATTTATATGCATGATATCAGAATACAAATTTTAAATGTGAACAGGACAGGTGATGCATGCATGTTACCATGGCGACCTTGTAGAAAGACTTTATTTCAGTGCTTAGCACCACACCAAAAAAGTGTCCTTTCTAAACCAATGATTCTGTGATAGAGGCACCTGTGGAGTTTATCATTTGAATTTAAGAAATCAGAAAAAAAAGTGATTTTGCCTCCTCTAGTGAAATTTCTACCTTATTGCCTGAAAAGGAAATAAAGTGGTTCTTATGAATGATTTATTCTGAACAAATCACTGTAATATAAATGGAATAATCTTTGGAGAATGAAGAGGCCCTGGGCAGTAGCCTGTTGAAGCAAAAATAACAAATAGAGGTGGGTACTTTTGCTTTAGTTCCATAAGGGCAGAGAAACTAATGATTGACTCTAAAAGAAAATTCTACATTTCAGACCACCTAAAGACTCTGGGAAGCAAAATAAAATGTAACTTATAAAGATAGAGAACTAAATCTGGTCATTTTGAAGAGAATTTTAATTTTAAATTTAGATGGCGTCTACTGGGCCCTAGAAAAGTTATTCCCTAATTTTTAATGATTTTCTTTTCCTCTGAACTAGTTACAAAATAGAACATTTACTATTAACACCATTTAAAAATCACTATAGAATAAGTACATAATTTTCTCTTGGCTGTAATTCTGTATTAATTATTTTTATATAATGCTGAGAATATAGTAGATGTTCAATACTTATCTGCTTTAATGATTGAATTAAGACTTTTGGGATACCTGAAATATTTGTAGTATTGGAAAACAGCTAAAAAAGATGCCAAACAAGAAGTCTACATAGTGAGCTTTGTTTTTTTAAACTCTATAATAGTATTCATATTTGGACCAATCTCTGTTCTGATCATATCTCCTGCATCATACCACTATATCATATTCTCAAGGCAAATTGCAGACACAAGATTTTTATAGTTAATGGTTTTCATGACATATGAGAGAAATACACTTATATCCCCGGGACCGACATATTGAGGAGTTGAGAAATTACAAGTCTCTCATTACACAACATCCCCTTGGAGCTAGGAAGTGTTTATTCTTGAGAATCATATGAGAATTATATCCATGCACCAGGAAAACCTAATTTGGACAATGAATTGCTTTTCAGACATGCAGAAAAACCTGCTTGGACAATAAATTGATTCAAATCAAGAATAAAGCATTTATTTAATGGCAGAATATATATCTCATATTGACTCTATTGTATTTAGAACCTTGAGCACCTCGATTCCTCTATATACATATATTTCCTACTTGCCTATATATAGTTACATATATACATGTCTTACATATATACATATATATATACACACACACATACACACACTTACATACATACACATATTTCTTACTAGGAAAACATCAACATATAGAATTTTCTGATTTATTGGGTTTACTGCATTCTGAAGGATAGAACCCCATACTGGGAGAGTATTGCCTTTGAACTAGTGCTTCTATCATGCTTTCGATAGATCTTCCCTATGAACTATCAGGCCAGCAGATTCTGGGTAGCCCAAAAGTTATATCATGAAGTGACTCCTATTTTACAAGCTTAGTTCTGCATCCGATTTGCTATAAAGTACATTTGCTAGCCTGATGGAACATTAAGTAGGATACAATTCTTACGGTTCAAATTCTCTGTAAAACATTAGGTTGTAGTGCCAACTGAGGCCCATACAAACTCAACCACAGAGTAATTTTCTAAAAAAAAAAAAAAAAAAAAGCTGTTTCTAGGGTTGAAGAGTTCCAATGTAGTCAAACTGAAATCATGAGGACAGTGGATCTCTTCAAGACATTGAAGCACATCATAGGCATAGTGTTAGTGTCTGTTGCTAGGATAGTAGAGATCTAGAAGTAGCAGCAGAAAGCCTTACCTTGGTAACAAGGGGTATGAATTTGCACCAGTAAGTCCTGTCTCTGCTACTGTGGCCATTTTCTTCACATGTCCATTATGCCAGCACAACAGACAGTCTGTTGTCAACTGGTCTGATCATTTGTTAATTTGGTTGGTTAGTTCATATTTTTTGAGGGATGTTCACTGGTCCACTTTTGCCTACTTTCATATATTCATCCATATACATCTACCTTTGATCTTCTTGATACTGGATTTTCCATTTCCCCACCCCCCAAGCCCTGACCAGCTTGCTAACGAATTTATCTCTGTTTATGAGTTCATATATTATAAACATGGCCCACAAAAATGTGCACCCTCTGAAGTTATGCCTATCAGGAGGATTTTCTCTTGTTAATATCTTTCAACATTACTTCTGATTAAGGCTCTAGTACAGTTCCTATTCATTTGTGAAAGGCTTTCATAAAGTAAGCCAACTAATTCATAGGTTATGTGCAGGCCTTTTCCTCTTTCTTCAACTGGTGAGGTAGGATCTGAAATATAGTTAAAATTATGAGCTGAGTGAAGGCCTCTGATACAACAGTGGAATATGGCATGAATCTCTGGACTTCCTAGTCATGCAATTTTTGTTTCCTTCAGTTCTTACGTTGCTTAATCCTGGAAAAACCAACTCCACCATACTATGGATTGTTACTGTCCTCAGATCTTATTACTCAATGGATCTGACAGTACATGGATCATAATTTATAGCACCAGCTGCACATGGGCACTTGATGTCCTATAATGAGGCTTTCTGTTTATATCAGGGCTCAGTAGGTCTCAGAAGCTTTTTCTTAAAAGGCTCTTAATTTTCTGCTAGAGGGTCAGGAATTTGCTACATAAATCATCAACTTGCATTATGGATCTCCTCCGGGGGATCCACAAAATGTACACAATTGCCACAAATTGTGCACCCCCTTTTTTCCGACAACCACCAACACCTCCAAAAGAATGTTTAAGAGTTGCTTTCCTGGCCACCCAGATTTGCTGCAGAGCAGGGCTCCACCCAAAAGCAGGCACATTTTTTTTTTATCTCCCCATATATGATCCAGGGTATTATTCTTAGATGTGCAATGTACTGCCTCCAGCATTCAAAGTGCCCCACCAATTTTGACACTACTTCGATGTATAAAGTATAAATTGCAATATTTTTTACCTTGAAAAGGATGTCCCAGCACACTGCTGACCATTTTAACCCCCCAAATTTGATGTAGTTTTAGATCCATGATTCTTCAAAGAGTTTATTTTATACTCTCTAGAGTACTATATCTCATAAAGACTTCCAGTAAGCTAGCCACTTCTCACTCATCCTGCCAATCAACCTCATGTCTCTAATGTAATGCATCCATATGAAGCTCTAAGGGATGCGCAGCCACTCCAGATCTCTTTATACCAAGTCAAAATTCAGAAAAATTAAACTAGCCCTTAATAAAAACCATAAAATATTTTCAATTAATTAACTTTATTGGCATACAATTGTATGCATTTATCATGTATAACACAGTGTTGTGAAGTATATGCACATGGTGGTAGTTAAATCTGGTTAATTAACAAGTGTTTTCCTTCGTAGTGTTATCATCTTTTTACTGAGAACACAACATCCACTCTGTCAACATTTTTTAATAAAACAATGTATTGTCTTTAACTATGAGCACCATGCTGTACAGTAGATCCCTTTAACTTATTCCTCCTATCTAACTGTAGTTACAGATCCTTTGAGCAACATCTCCCTAAATGTGACTGTAAACTCTTTCTACTTCTCTTTTCTGCTTGGAATAGAAAACAGTACATTCACCAAATCAATGGGCAGTGCATGTCTTTGTCTACTTTTCCATGGTACTTAGGAACAGATTAATATTGTAGAAGCAATGATAATTTTGAGTCCATATTTAATCAATAACAAATATTAGCCAACCTAGCATTATGTGAAACATTAATGCCGAAAGCATTCCTGACACTACGGAAACAACCAAACTTTCTAAATTATGGTTCTTGCCTTCAGAGGTAAGCATCAAGTTGAAGATGACAGCTATTTAAGTCCAAAAATACTTTTTTTAGACAAAGTTTCGCTCTTATCGCCCAGGCTGGAGTGCGACGGAGTGATCTCGGCTCACTGCAACCTCCGCCACCTGGGTTCAAGCGATTCTCCTGCCTCAGCCTCCCAAGTAGGTGGGATTATAGATGCCCACGACCACGTCTGGCTAATTTCTTGTATTTTTAGTAGGGAGAGGGTTTCACCATGTTGGGGAGGCTGGTCTCGAACTCCTAACTTCAGGTAATCTGCCCACTTCAGCCTCCAAAGTGCTGGGATTAGAGGCATGAGCCACCTCTCCCTGTCCAAAAATTAATTTAAAATACATACATGTATTAGTATAGAAAATATATATGTGTATGAGTGTTCAAAGTTATAATTTCTGAGGAATTTTCAAACAAAACAACATGCTTAAAGTTGCCCTGAAAACATAGAAGGTCTGCAGAAAGTTCAAAAGAGTGAATGCCATTTCAGACCGAGAAAATGTATCAGTACCAGTGTAAAAGTAACTAATTTATACATACATCAAGCAATTATTTTGCAACTTGTATATCATGCAATTTTGTATATCATGCACAATTATAAACACATTATATATATGATAAAATTTAATTATCTCAATGACTCTTTAAGGCATTTTTGTATCTTTAGTATATAAACAAAATGAAATATTTCTGGAGGGTTTAATTAACCGTAAGTTTCCAGCTAGAGAGTAACAAAGCTCAACAGATCTCTCAAAAAATTCAGCTTGCCTCTTTTGATTAAAAATCAACTTTTCTTTTTCTCACTGAATTGATGTTGCATGGCATTTTATTTCCCCAACTTGTTCTAATTACAACTAGAACAATTGATTGCCAGTCAAATGCATGATACTTCACAACAAACACACTCAGTTCAGTGTTTGCCCAAGATTCTTTTCAGGCAAGATATTAAAGTTTGTGTCATCATTTTCTCTTAGATCCCCTACCACTATGCTGTTCACAGAAGTCTAAGCTGAATAAAGGTAAAACTTATTACTCTATATGAGTCAAAATTTTGTAGCATCTTTAAGTAGACAGCAGCAAGTGCAATATACTAGGGATGATTTAAATGATGAAGAATATTATTACTGTCCTCTTTAGACTACAGTGATCTAAATAAGTGTCCTTTGGATCTACCTGGCTTTTTCAGCGTTGTCAGAATTCTTTCTTTCTAAATTGGGAATCAAATCCATCAGCTTCAGGTAATAATAGAATAATGAATGTCTTAAATTATGGAAAACTTGACATTTTATGTTTAGTAGTATTGAAGATACTTTTAAGGAAGCTTAAAATTTATCAAACAACCCTGAAGTTGTTTGATAAATATTTTAAAATCAATACTTTTGTAAAGTTATCATTAGATAGGCTTCACAAGTGTTAGGTAGATATTGAAATCCTTTAAATCGGGGAATATTTTTGTCAAATTTGTAATTTGATAGCCATTTTTTCTGACCGAACATGTGGCTATTTAGCAAAAGAATCAACTCTGGGTTGCTTCTCTGTCATAGAACTTTATTCTGGGGGAATGGTAAAAATGGCTAAATTTTGTGCATCATCTATGTGATGAAGCTTTAACATCCAATACGAATAAGACATTATTCTTCCCATCAAAGTAAGAATTGATACTTCACTAAGATATTCAAATATTTGTTAATTTATGTATTTATTTTTAAATAATTAATTGAAAAATAAAGTTTATATATATTAAAGGTGTACAATGTGATGATTTGATGTGTATATTATTGTGTAACGATTACCACAATCTAATTAATTAACATGTCCGTCATCACCTATGTGGTATATTAGATCCCCACAATGCTTTTATTCACCTGAAAGTTTTATACTTTGACCAATATCTTATGATTACCCTCTCTGATACCCCTGGTAACCACCATTCTACTCTGCTTCTATCTGTCTGGTTTATTTAACTTAGCATAACATACTTCATGTTCTCTGTGTTTTCATAAATAACAAGATTCTTTTTTCATGGCTGAATAATATTTCATTATATATGTACCACATTTCCTTTATACATCCATTTACTGATGGATACTTAGGGTGATTTCATATCTTTCTATTGTGAATAATATCACAATAAACAAGGAAGATACAGATACTCTTCAAGATACTTATTTCCTTTGATATATGCCCAGAATATATGCTGGACTGTATGAGAGTTCTATTCTTAATTTTTTGAAGAATTTTCTTAATGTTTTTCATATGATTCTACCAACTTACATTCCCACCACAGTGTGCAGGGTTACCTTTTCGCCACACCCTAACCAACATTTGTCTCTTGTTGTTTTTTTTTTTTTTTTAATAGCCATCCTAACAAGTGTGAAGTGATTCCTCATTGTGGTTTCAACTTGCATTCTCTGATAATGAGTGATGGTGAGAAGCTTTTCATATATTTGTAGGCAATTTGTATATCTTCTTTGGAAACATGCCTATTCAGACACTTTGGCCATTTTTTATTTGGATGGTTGTGGGTTTTTTGTTTGTTGTTTGCTGTTGGGTTTTGTAAGATTTATGTATTTTGCATATTGATCCCTTATCAATTATATGGTTTGCAAATATTTTCTCCCATTCTGTAGGTTGTCTTTTAATTTTCTTGATTATTTTCTTTGCTGTGTAGAAATTTTTAGTTTTGTGTAGTCTCAGTTGTTTATTTTTGGTTTTGTTGGCTGCACTTTTGATGTCATATTTAAAAAATTGTCAGGGAAAATTTTTCCATGATTTCTTTAAGAGTTTTATGGTTTTAGATCTTATATTTCAATATTTAATTTATTTTTGGTTAATTTTTGTATGCAGTGTAAGACAAAGGTCCAATTTCATTTTTGCATGCAGATATTCAGGTTTTTTAGCCCAATTTATTGATGAGGTTTCCTTTCACCATTTTATTTTTTAGATGTCCTTGTCAAAAATTAATTGATCATACATTGGTTAGCTTATTCCTGAGTTCTATATTCGGTTCCATTGGACTGTATGTTTCATTTTATGCCAGCACCATCTTCTTTTGATTACTATAAGTTTGTAATTTAGTTTGACATCAGGCAGTGTGGTAGCTCCAGCTTTTTTCTTTCCGAGATTGGTTTCACTATTCATGTTTGTGTGTGTGTGCGCTTCCATATGAACTTTTGAATTGACTTTTTTTCTATTTTTTGGAAAAAGGCCATTGAAATTTTATAGGGATTGCATTGACTCTGCAGATTGCTTTGGGTATTATGGACATTATAATGAATAAAATCAGAAAAGCTGCAATTTACAAAATCATCGTACAAACAGAAATTGTGTTTCTATACTTTAACAACAAACTGTTGGAAAAATAATTTAAAACCATGATTTTATCAAGATTTATAAAATACATAGGAAAAAATTTAAGCAAAGAGGTGAAAAATCTGTATCCTGAAAATGATAAGGCATTGATTAAAGAAATTGAAGAAGGCCGGGCACGGTGGCTCACGCCTGTAATTCCAGCACTTTGGGAGGCTGAGGCAGGTGGATCATAAGGTCAGGAGATCAAGACCATCCTGGCTAACACGGTGAAACCCCGTCTCTACTTAAAATATAAAACCAAAATTAGCCAGGCGTGGTGGCTGGTGCCTGTAGTCCCAGCTACTCGGGAGGCTGAGGCAGGAGAATGGCATGAACCTGGGAGGTGGAGCTTGCAGTGAGCCAAGATCACACCACTGCACTCCAGCTTGGGTGACAGAGTAAGACTCCGCCTCAAGACAAAAAAAAAAAAAAAAAAAAGAAAGAAATTGAAGAAGACAAAAATAAATGGAATGGAATGATATCTAATGCCTGTGGATTGGAAGATCTTTTATTAACATATACTGAAATTTTCAGAAAAATCTTGACAGAATAGCATTTTTCTTTTCTATTTTATGGATGATGAAATTGAAACTTAATGAGGTTACATAATTAGCTTAGTATCACATTACTAGGAAATGGATGTCCCATATTCAAGCCCAGAAAGACTGATTCCAAAGCTACAACATCAAAATGATGCTCTCTCTTCATATGCATAAATGTTTATGAAGAAAACAAGAGTGCCTATATATACATATGTACATGTATATGCATAAAGGTATATATTCATATGTGTATGTATATGTACACATTTATATATATAAATTTATATGTATGTGTATGCATGTATATATAAACGTATACATGTATATATAAATGTATATATGTATACATATATGTGTGTATGAATGTATATATAAAATATAAAAATTCATATGTAAATCTATATATGCATATGTATATATATGAATTTATATATATAAATTTATTTATATATAAATGTGTACATATACATACATAGATTGTGTTTTATTTACCATAAATATCACTCTCCTTTAACACATGTCATTCAGTACATTTAGTCATTTACAAGCTTGTGAAACTATCACCACTCTCTAATTCTCAAATATTATCATCATCTCCTCACTCTCTGTCTTAGTCAATTTTATGTTGCTATAACAGAGTAACACAGACTAGGTACTCCATAAAGAATAGAGGTTTATTTAGCTTAAATTTCTGGAGACTGGGAAGCCCAAGAGCATGGCATTGGCATCTTGTGAGAGAATTCTCACCGTGTCATAACATAAAGGAGGCATTACAAAGCAAAAAGGCAAGAACAAGAAAACGAATGAGAGCTCACTTTTGTGACAAAGGCATTCCCTGGATAATACACCCACTCTTGTCAAAATGACATTAATCCATTTATGAGAATAGAGCCCTTATTAACGCTTTATTTATGAAGACAGAGAAATTAAGTTTCCCACACAAAGTTTTAGAGCACACATTCAAACCATAGCATGCCCTCCAAAATCTGTACCAAATTCTAGTCACACACCATTCCTGCCTCCATCAAGTAATCTAACTTTTATCTCTACAATTTTGCCTGTTCTGAAGATTTCATGTAAACTAAATCATATGATAAGAAAATTTGTTTTCGTTGAATTATTGATCTTACCATGTTTTCAAGGTTCATCAACATTGTAACATGTATTAATGCTTTATTCCTTTTTAAGGTAGGTAGATAGATAGGCACACACATATATACTTGATTAACATTTGTGTTGTTTTTACTTTTGGACTGTTATGAATAAGGTTGCTATAAACATTTATGCACAAGTTACTGTGTGCATATGTGTTTTCAATTATTTGTGGTACATATTTTGTAGTTGTAGTTTGGGGCTATAGTAATTCAATGTCTAACTTCTGCAGTTCAGCAAAAGTGTTTTTCTTGTCTGTTTTTTTTTTCTCTGTCACCTAGGCTGGAGTGCAGTGGCATGGTCTTGGCTCACAGCAACCTCCATCTCCCGGGTTCAAGCAATTCTCCTGTCTCAGCCTCCCGAGTAGCGGCTATAGTCACATGCCACCATGCCCACCTAATTTTTTGTATTTTTAGTAGAGACGGAGTTTCACCATATTGGTCAGGCAGGTCTTGAACTCCTGACCTTACGTGGCCCACCCGCCTAAGGCCTCCCAAAGTGCCCAGGCCCAAAAGTGCTTTTAATGTGCTGATTTCCATCAGCAACTTATGAGATATCTGATTTCTACGTGTTCTCGCCTACATTTGGTTAGCTTTACTATCTCTTTGATGTTTGGCAGGACATATATTTTCAGGTTTAAGTTCTAACTTTAAAAAAGAGTACTAGTAGCTCCTGATCTACTGTTACTATTTCATAGAGTTAAATAAGATATACTTATCTTTTATTTTATATTTCTTTAACTTGGCGGAGAAATTGTTATTGCATGTCTTTTCTGTTATAGTCATACTAATAGGTGTAAAGTGGCATCTCGTGCTTCTGAGTTGTGACTTCATAATAACTAATGATGATGAACATCTTTTCATGTGCTTATTAGCCATTTGTTTATATTCTTTGGGGAAATATCTACTTTGCCCATTAAAAAATAGATTTTTTTATAGAACAGTTTTAGGTTAACAGCAAAATTGACCAGGAAGTACAGAGAGCCCCATATCCTACTTACACCCACATATATGCAACCTCTGTCATGTGGAAACCAGCACCAAAGTGGTATGTTTTGTTTCACCTACAATTAGACATTGTTATTACCCAAAGCCCATAGTTTACATAAATGTTTCTCTTGATGTACATGGTTTTTGAGAAATGTATAATTACATGTGTGCACCATTCTAGTATTAAAAACTGTAGTTTCACTGTCTCAAGTATCCTCTATGATCTGTCTATTTGTATCTCTTTCTCCCGCACCCTTGGCAACCAGTGACCTTTTTTATGACTCCAAAGTTTTGTTTTTTCCAGAGTTTCATATAGTTTAAAACACACAATATGTAACATTTTCAGATTCACTTCTTTCACTTAGTAATATGCATTTAAAGATCTTCCAGCCAAGCATGGTGGCTCATGCTTGTAATCCCAGCAATTTGAGAGGCTGAGGCAGGTGGATCATTCGAGGTCAGGAGTTTGAGACCAGCAAAATCTCCATCTCTACTTAAAAAAAAAATTCTATGTTTTTTCTTGGCTTGATAGTTTATAATATTCCATTGTTTACATGTGCAACTGTTCATTCATCTACTGAAGAATGTCTTGATTCCCTTCAAGTTTTGGCAATCATGAATAAAGTTTCTACAGGTATCTGAATGCAGGTTGCTGTGTAGGTAAGTTTTCAATTTATTTGGGTAAATACCAAGAAGCATGATTACTGAATTGTTTTGTAATAGCACATTTGCTTTTGTAAGAAACTGCCAAACTGTCCCAAAATGGCTATAGTATTTTACATTCCCACTGCCAAAGAAAGGGAGTTCTTGTTGCTCCACATTCTGCCCAGCATTTGGTACCAGATTTTTAAATTTTGGCTATTCTAATAGATGTATAATGTTATCTTATTGTTTTTTAATTTGCATTTCCCTAATGACATATACTGTGGAACATCCTCTATATACTTATCATCTGTATATCTTCTTTGCTGAGGTGTGTGCTAATTTTTACTAGTTTGTTCATTTTCCTATTGTTGAATTTTAAGAGTTCTTTGTACATTTTGAATAAGACTTTCATCACATATGTCTTTTGGAATTGTGTTCTCTCACTCTGTTTCTTGCCCTCTTATTATCTTGACATTGCCTTTTATACATCAGAAATGTTTATTTTAATAAGTCAAGATAATCAATTATTTATTTCAGGATTTTATTTTTTGCTTTTGGTGTTGTATCTAAGAAACCACTACCGGCCGGGCGCGGTGGCTCACGCCTGTAATCCCAGCACTTTGGGAGGCCGAGGCGGGCGGATCACGAGGTCAGGAGATCGAGACCATCCTGGCTAACACGGTGAAACCCCGTCTCTACTAAAAATACAAAAAATTAGCCGGGCGTGGTAGCGGGCGCCTGTAGTCCCAGCTACTCGGGAGGCTGAGGCAGGAGAATGGCGTGAACCCGGGAGGCGGAGCTTGCAGTGAGCCGAGATCGCGCCACTGCACTCCAGCCTGGGCGACAGAGCGAGACTCCGTCTCAAAAAAAAAAAAAAAAAAAAAAAAAAAGAAACCACTACCATACCCAAGGTCATGTATATTTTCTCCTATGTTATCTTCTGGGAGTTTTATATTTTTGCCTTTCGCATTTCTGTTTATGGTTACTTTTGCATTAATTTTTGAAGGATATAAGATCTGCTTCTAGATTTATTTATTTTTGTATATAGATGTTCAATTTTTCCAGTGCCATTTGTTGAAAATACTATCATTTTCACATTGTATTTCATCTGCTCTTTTTCCTAAAGACCAAATAATTTTATTTTTGTAGGTCTATTTCTGGACTTTCCATTATTTTTAGTCTATTTTTCTGTTTGTTTTTTTCTTAATCATTACCACATTTTCTTGTACACTTACTGCAGATTTATAGTAAGTCTTAAAGTCGCATAGTGTCATTCCTCCAGTTTTATTCTTATTCAATATTGAATTGTTCATATCTTAGTGGTAAAGCTTCAGTGTTTTAACAATAACAAACGTGCCAAAGGTGAGTTTTTAAAATAGATAGCTTCATCTCTTAGACAAGGTCCATTCCTGGTTTATTGAGAATTTATCATGAAATAATATTGAATATTATTAAATGCTTTTTACTGGGTCTATTGAGAGGATCATGTGGTTTTTATCTCATTATTTATAATGGCTTATTACAATGATTGATAATTGTACATTGAGACAAACTTTTATTCCTTGAATAAATCCCACTTTGTAGTGGTATATAATCTTTTTATATGTTGCTGGAATGTGACTTTCTAATGTTTTATTGAGGATTTTTAATTTACATGTATGAGAACATGGGTTTGTAGTTTTCTTTCCTTGTGATGTCTTTTGCAGGTTTTAGTATCAAGCAAAAGCAGGCCTCATAGAATACATTTTGAAGGGTTCCCCCATTCCTATTTTCTGAAAATATCTGTGAAAAATTGACATTAATTTTTCTAATTAAATCTTAGTTATATGAATTAAATATTCTTCAAATATTTGATAGAATTCACCAGTAAACTCAACTGAGCCTGGGCTTTAAATTGTTGGAAGTCTTTTCATTACTAAATGAATCTCTTTCACTGTTGTAAGTCTATTTTTAATGGTTCTTAATTTTTTATTAATATAGAAGAGATGTACATATTTTGTGGGTACATGTGATGTTTAGACATTCATCTAATGTCTAATTACAAAATCAGGGTAATTGGGATATCTATCCCATTAAACTTTTATTTTTATGAATGTTAGGAACATTTGAATTATTTACTGTTTGGCATTTTAAATATCCAATAAATTGTCATTTATTATAGTCACTCTGTGATTTATCAAACACTAGATTTTTTTTTTATCTAACTGCACTTTGTACCCACTATCAACCTCTCTTCACTTCCCTTCTCCCAACCCTTCCTGGAGGGAGTGGCAATGTACTCCCTGTCTTCATGAGATGCACTTTCTTAGCTCCCAAATAGGAGTGAGAACATATAATCTTTGTCTCTCTGTGCTTGCCCAATTTCACTTAATATAACGACCTCCAGTTCAATCCATATTGCTACAAATGACAAGTTTTTATTCTTTTTTATGGCTGAGTAGTATTCCATTGTGTATATATACAAATTTTCTTATCCTTTCATCCTTTGATGAGCACTTAGGTTGATTCTACATGTTTGCTACTGTGAATAATTTTGCAATAGACATGGGAATGCAGATAAATAGATTTTATTTATTTTGGTTGTATACCCAGTAGTAAAATTGTATGGTAGGTTTTTTGTTTGTTTGTTTGTTTGTTTGTTTTTAAGACAGGGCCTTGGTCTGTTACCAAGGCTGGAATGAAGTGGTGCAATCTTGGTTGACTGCAACCCGTGCCTCCTGGGTTGAAGCAATCCTCCCACCTCGGCCTCCCAAAGTGCTGGAATTATAGGCGTGAGCCACCACACCCAGCCCAGATGTTAGTTCTATTTGTAGACTGTGGAGGAAACTCCTTACTGTTTTTCATAGTGGTCAGGCTAATTTACATCCTTACCAACTGTGTATGAGTGTCCCACTTTCTCCATATTCTTGTCGGCATTTGTTTTTTTGTTTGTTTGTTTTTGTTTTTTTTTGAGACGGAGTCTCGCTCTGTCGCCCAGGCTGGAGTGCAGTGGCATGATCTCAGCTCACTGCAAGCTCCGCCTCCCAGGTTCACACCATTCTCCTGCCTCAGCCTCCCGAGTAGCTGAGACTACAGGCACCCGCCACCACGCCTGGCTAATTTTGGTTTTGTATTTTTAGTAGAGACGGGGTTTCATCATGTTAGCCAGGATGGTCTTGATCTCCTGACTTCATGATCTGCCCTCCTCGGCCTCCCAAAGTGCTGGGATTACAGGCATGAGCCACTGCGCCTGGCTTCTTGCCAGCATCTGTTATTGCCTGCATTTTCGATAAAGGTCATTTCAACTGGGGTGAGATGATTTCTCACTGTGGTCTTAATTTTCATTTCTCTGATGATTAGTGATGTTGAGCATTTTTAAAATAAAGCTGTTAGTCATTCACGTGTCTTTATTCAGGAAATGTCTACTTAGATTTTTATTATTTATTTATTTTGAGATAATGCCTTGCTCTGTCACCCAGGCAGGAGTGCAGTAGCATAACAATGACTCACTGAATCCTCTACCCCCAAGGCAAAAGTGATTATCCCACTTCCATCTCCCTAGTGACTGGAACTACAGGCGCATGCCACCATGCCTGGCGAATTATTTATTTTTATAGAGAAGGGATCTTACTGTTGCCAGGGCTGGTCTCAAACTCCTGAGCTTAAGTGATTATCTGGTCTTGGCCTTGCAAAGTGTTGGGATTACAGGCTTGTGCCATCATGCCTGACGTTTTGCTCATTTTTAAATTGCATCATTTATTTATTTTGCAAATGAGCTATTTGAGTTTCTTTTATATTTTGGTTATTAAGCCTTGGTATATGAAGAGTTTGTAAATATTTTCTTTTTTCTTTTTTTTTTTTTTAGTGAGACAGAGTTTCGCTCTGTCGCCCAGGCTGCAGTGCAGTGGCACAATCTCGGCTCACTGCAAGCTCTGCCTCCCGGGTTCACACCATTCTCCTGCCTCAGCCTCCCGAGTAGCTGGGACTACAGGCACCCACCACCATGCCCAACTAATTTTTTCTATTTGTAGTAGAGACAGGGTTTCACTGTGTTAGCCAGGATGGTCTCGATCTCCTGACCTTGTGATCCGCGTGTCTCGGCCTCCCAAAGTGCTGGGATTACAGGCGTGAGCTACCGCGCCCGGCTTGTAAATATTTTCTGCGCTTCAGTGGGCCATGTCTTCACTTTGTTGATTGCTTCCTTTGCTGTGTACAACTTTTTATCTTTATATAATCCTGTTTGTTAATGTTTGCTTTGGTTGCCTGTACTTTTGAGGTCTTACTCAATATATCTTCCTCAGACCAATATCCTGGAGCAATTCCTCAATGTTTCATCTAGTATTTTTATAGTTTGAAGTTTAGATTTAAGCTGTTAATTCATTTTGATATGATTATTGTATATGCTGAGAGATAGGGGTCCAATTTAATTATTCAGCATATGATTATACAGTTTTCCCAGCACAATTTATTGAAGAGACTGTCCTTTCCCCAATGTATATTCTTGGTACCTTTGTCAAAAATGAGTTAGGTATAAATGCATGAGTTTATTTTGGGTTTCTGTAATGTATTCCATTAGCCAATGTGTTTGATTTTATGCAACTGTGATGCTGTTTTGCCAAAATAGTGTATTTTGGCTCTTCTGGGTCTTTTGTGGTTTTATATAAATTTTAGAATTTTTTTTAACTTTTCTGTAAAGAATGTCATTGGCAATTTGATTGGAATTTTATTGGCTTTATAGATTGCTTTGGGTACTGGATATTTAATGAATTCACTTTTTCTAATCCATGAGCATGGAATATCTTTCCATTTTTTTGTCAACTATTTTCCTCAGTGTTTTATAGTTTTTCTTGCAGAAATCTTTTATTTATTTGGTTTAATATCTTTCCAGGTGTTTTATATTTTTGTAGCTATTTTAGATAAAATGGCTTTCTTGATTTCTCTTTCAGATTGTTCATTGTTGGCATATACAAACACTACTGATTATTCTGTTGATTTTATAACCTGCAACTTTGTCGAATTTTAAAAATTAATTCAGGGTTTTCTAAATATATGATCATGTCTTCCAGGAATAAAGAAAATTCGACATCTTCCTTTTCAATTTGGATGCCCCTTATTTATTTCTCTAATCTGATTGCTCTGGCTGAGATTTCTGGTGTTTTGCTGAATAAAAATGGGGAAAGTGGCAGAAAAGCCTTTCAATTTTTCCTTATTCAGTATAATGTTAGCTATGAGTATATCATATATAGCCTGTACTCTTTTGACCTATATTCCATCCATACCCATTCTGTTGAATGTTTTTATAATAAAGGAATATTGAATTTTATTTTATTTTATGTTTTTTTAGAACCTATTAAAATAATCTTTTTTTTTTTTTGTTCTTGGTTCTGTTAATGCAATTTGTCACTTTTATTGATTTGCTTATGTTTAATTATCCTTGCATCCGTGGGCTAAATCCCATTTGATAATTGTGGATGGTCTCTTTAACATGTTGTTTAATTCGGCTTGCTGGTATTTTGTTGAGATTTTTGTGTATATGTCAATCAAGGCTGTAGGGCTGTAGCTTTCTTTTTCCTTTTTTTTTTTTTTTTTTTTTTTTTTTTTTTTTTTGAGACTGAGTCTCGCTCTGTTACCCAGGCTGGAGCGCAATGGTGCAATCTCAGCTCATGGCAACCTCCTCCTCCCATGTTCAAGTGATTCTCAGTCTCCCAAGTAGCTGTGATTACAGAAGTGCACCACCATGCCCGGCTTTTTTTGTTTTTTCTTTTTCTTTTTTTTTTCTTTTTTTTTTGAGACAGAGTCTCGCTCTGTCGCCCAGGCTGGAGTGCAGTGGCGGGATCTCGGCTCACTGCAAGCTCCGCCTCCCGGGTTCACGCCATTCTCCTGCCTCAGCCTCCCGAGTAGCTGGGACTACAGGCGCCCGCCACTACGCCCGGCTAATTTTTTGTATTTTTAGTAGAGACGGGGTTTCACCGTTTTAGCCGGGATGGTCTCGATCTCCTGACCTCGTGATCCGCCCGCCTCGGCCTCCCAAAGTGCTGGGATTACAGGCGTGAGCCACCGCGCCCGGCCTTTTTTTTTTTTTTTTTTTTTTTTTTTTTCTGAGACGGAGTCTCGCTCTGTAACCCAGGCTAGAGTGCAAGTGGCGCCATCTCGGCTCACTGCAAGCTCCGCCTCCCAGGTTCACGCCATTCTCCTGCCTCAGCCTCCTGAGTAGCTGGGACTACAGGAGCCCGCCACCACGCCTGGCTAATTTTTTTGTATTTTTAGTAGAGACGGGGTTTCACCGTGTTAGCCAGGATGGTCTTGATCTTTTGACCTTGTGATCCACCCATCTCGGCCTCCCAAAGTGCTGGGATTACAGGCGTGAGCCACCGCTCCTGGTCATTTTTGTATTTTTAGTAGAAAGGAGATTTCATCATGTTGGCCTGACTGGTCTGGAATACCCAGCATCAATTGATCGGTCAGCCTCGGCCTCACAAAGTGCAGGGATTACAGGCGTGAGTCACCTGCTCGGCCATGACCTGTAGCTTTCTTTTTTTGTTTTGCCCTTGTCTGGTTTTGGTATTAGGGCATTGTTGGATTCAGAGAATGATTTAGGAAGTATTGCTTCCTCATAAATTTGTTTGAACAGTTTGAGTAGAATTGGTATTAGTTCTTCTTTAATTGTTCAGTAAAATTCAGCAATGAAGTCACCGGGTTCTGGGATTTATTTTTTTATTTTTATTTTATTTTTGGGGAGACATTTTACTACTTTTTCTATCTGATATGGTTTGGCTGTGTCCGCACCCAAATGTCAACGTGAATTTTATCTCCCAGAATTCCCACATCTCGTGGGAGGGACCCAAGGGGAGGTTATGGAATCATGGTGGCTTGTCTTAATAAGTCTCACAAGATCTGATGGGTTTATCAAGGGTTTCTGCATTTGCTTCTTTCTCATTTTCTCTTGCTGTCTCCATGTAAGAAGTGCCTTTTTGCTCCCGCCATGATTCTGAGGCTTCCCCAGGCATGTGGAACTGTAAGTCCGTCCAATTAAGCCTCTTTTTCTTTCCAGTCTCAAGAATGTCTTTATCAGCAGCATGAAAATGAACTAATACACTCTCTGATTAATTTTTATTGGTTTGTTCCGGTTTTCTATTTCTTCAAGATTTAATCTTGGTAAGTTTTATATGTTAAACAATTTATTCATGTCTTTCAGGTTTTCAATTTTTTGGTGTATAGTTGTTCATAATAGTTTCTAATGATTTTGTTTTGTGTTTGTGATATCAGTTGTTATGAGTTTTTTTTCATTTCTAATTTTATCTAATATTTATATCTTCTCTATTTTTCATAGTTAGTCTAGCTTAAGAATTGTCAATTTTGCATATCTTTTAAAAATAACTTGTCTTTTAATTGATCTTTTGTATTGCGTTTTCAATCTCAATTTCACTTTTATTCCTGCTCTGATTGTTACTAATGTTTTCCTTCTGCTAAATTCAGGTTTGATTTGTTTTTGCTTTTCTATTTCTCTTTGTTGCATCATAAAATTGTTAATTTGAATTTTTTTGATATAGATGTTTAATGCTATAAACATACATACCCCTTAGCACAGCTGTTGCTGTATGTTATAGATATTGTTATGTTGTGTTTCCATATTCATTTTATTTCAAGAATTTGTTTTTTAATTTCTTCCTTGACCCAATAGTCATTCAAGAGCATGTTGTTTAATTTCCATGTGCTTGTGTGGTTTCTAAGATTTCTCTTCTTATTGATTTATAATTTTATTTCTTTGTGTTCAGAAAAAATACTTGATATAATTTGGACTCTTGAATTTGTTGAGACTTGTTTCCTGACCTAGCATATGATCTGTTTTGTATAATGTGTATAATGTTTCACATCCTGTTGAAAATAGTGTGTATTCTGCACCAGTTAGGTGAAATATTTTGTCAATTTAAGTTAGGCCTATTTAGTCAAGTGTGTAACTTAACTCTGATGTTTCTTTGTTGATTTTCTGTCTGGATGATTTGTTTATTACTGAAAGTGTAATGTTAATATCCCCTACTATCATTGTATTAGAGTCCATCTCTCTTTTCAGATGTGTTAGTGTTTGCTTTAAATACTTGAATTCTGTGTTGGGTACACAGATACCTGTTTGTTACATGCTGTAGCAAGATTGACTTCTTCATTAGATAGTGACCTTTGTAGCTTTTTATAGTCTTTGACTTGTAGCCTATTTTATCTGATATAAGTATAGCTACTCCTGTTCCTTTGGTTTCTATTTCCTTGTAATGTGTTTTTCCATATCTTCACTTTTGGTCTGTGTTTTTCTTTATAGATGATGAAGCAGTTTTCTTCGAAGGCAGCATATAGTTTGGTCTTGTTTCTTTATTCATTCAGCCACTCTATAACTTTTTCTTGGTGAATTCAATACATTTACATTCAAAGTTCTTATTGATAGGTAAGGATTTACCAATGCCATTATTTACTTGTTGTCTGGTTGTATTGAATCACCTTTCTTTCTTTCTTCCTCTATTACTGCCTTTTTTTTTTTTTTTTTTTGGTTAAGAGATTTTCTCTGAAACTATGTTTTAATTCAGTGCTTTTTTTTGGTATATTTATGATATGTTTTTGCTTTGTGGTTATTGCGAGACTTAGAAAAACATGTTAATGGTATAACAAGTTATTTAAACAAATGACAACTTTTCTTTGACTATAAAGAAAAACTAGAAATAAACAACGACAAAAAAAAAATTTAATTTTGCATTTCAGCTCCACCCCCAACCCCTGCTCCTTTTGGCCTATTTTTTGGCATCAATTCATGTAATCTTATATTGCCTATCTCTTAACAGATTGATGTCGATATTATTGATTTTGATAGATTTGCCTTTTAGTCTTCGTAATAAAATTATGAGTGGGTTACACACATAATTATAGTGTTAGAATATTTTGAGGTTTTTTTCAGTATTTACTTTTACCACTAGGTTTTAGACCTTCAAATGGTTTATATTTGCATATTAGGTTTTTTTTTAATTTTTTTTTTTTTTTTTTGCTTTTTTTCAGATTGAATAACTCTGCAGCATTTTTTAAAAGATGGGTCTGGTGGTAAAGAATTCCTTCAGCTTTCGTTTGGAAAAGACTTTATCTCTCCTTCATGTTTGAAAGATAGTTTTTCAAGACACTAAATTCATGTTTGGCAGTCTTGTTTTTTAGCATGTTGAACATGCTATCCTATTCCATCCTTATGGTGGAATGTTACTTATTAAGAAGCTTTTTTTCCAGACAAATTGGAGCCCCTTTATATACGTGCTTCTTGTCTGTTGCTGCTTTTAGAATCCTCTCTTTTCTCTTGACATTTGAGAGTTTGATTATTACATTGCTTCATGTAGTTTTATTTGTGTTTAATCCGGCAATCTCTTACCTTTCTATGTCTGGATATTTACATCTTTTTCAAATTTTGTAACATTTTCTGTTATTACTCTTTGAATACAATTTTTATTCCTTGCTCTTCCTCAGCTACATTTTGAATACTAATAATTCTTTTTTTTTTCTTTTCTTTTTTTTTTTTTTTTGAGATGGAGTCTTGCTCTGTCACCCAGGCTGGAGTGCAGTGGCGCGATCTTGGCTCACTGCAACTTCCACCTCCCAAGTTCAAGCCATTTTCCTGCTTCGGCCTCCCAAGTAGCTGGGATTACAGGTGTGTGCCACCACACACAGCTTATTTTTGTATTTTTAGTAGAGACAGGATTTTGTTATGTTGGTCAGGTTCATCTCGAACTCCTGACCTTGTGATCCGCCTGCCTCGGCCTCCCAAAGTGCTGGCATTACAGGCGTGAGCCACCGTGACCAGCCAAATCCTAATAATTCTTAAATTTTTTCTTTTGGGGTAATTATCTATATCCTGCATGTGTTCTTTATTCTTTTTCATTTGCTTTTCTTCTCTGTGTATTTTATAGTAGCCTGTCCTCAAGCTCAGTAAGACTTTCCTCTGATTCATCCATTTTGCTGTTGAAAGCCTGTAATAAAATTTTCAGTATAGCAAATATACTTTTTACTTCCAAGATTTCTGTTTTATATTTTAAATTATTTCAATCTTCGTTACATTTCTCTGATAAATTTCTGTTGCTTTCCTTTTTTATTTTGTGGATTATTGAGTTTCCTTAAATATGCTATTTTGAACTTTTGATCAGACAGCTTGCCTTTCATATTCCCATTACAATAATTCTCCGTCTCCTCGTTTGTCTGGGGAGGTTTGGGTTTTATAGTTCTCTGTTTTATATTGTTATTCTGCGTTTACTTCTATGTCTTCACATTTGAAGGATTAGTTATTTATTCCAGTTTTCTCTGGCTTGTTTCGATTTTTGGATATGTTTGTATATAGATTTATTTGCAATATACCTGTTGAATGTATTTTTCCAAGATCACTGCCGCCTCTTCAGCACTAGATGGCACCTTAACCCTGCGTTTACCTCAGCTCTAGCAAAGGTAAGAGCATTGCCTAGCCTGAATGGTAGAAGTCCCCCAGGGAATATTCCGGCAGTGTGGGAAAACTGGCTAGGAGTTTGTGCTTATAGGACTTGTGAAACTTACTTTTTTTTTTTTTTTTTTTTTTTTTTTGAGAGGGAGTTTCGCTCTTGTCACCCAGGCTGTAATGCGGGAGTGCAGTGGCGCCATCTCGGCTCACTGCAACCTCCACCTCCTGGGTTCACGTAATTCTCCTGCCTCAACCTCTCCAGTAGCTGGGATTACAGGCACACGCCACCAAACCCGGCTAATTTTTGTATTTTTAGTAGAGACAGGGTTTCATCTTGTTGGCCAGGCTGGTCTTGAATTCCTGACCTCAAGTGATCTGCCTGCCTCAGCCTCCCAAAGTGTTGGGATTACAGACGTGAGCCACTGAGCCCGGCCTGAAACTCATCTCCTATAGCTTGGTGCTGCTAGACAGCCACTCTGTTTTAACTTCTTCTTTGGCCAAAACACAGAGGAAAGTTTTCCTGCCTGGAGATACTAGTCCTACCTTCTCCCCTGTATCTAGCTGTCTTCAAGAAGTTTTCTCCCTTCAGGCCCTCACAATAATTCCTGTGTGTTAAGGCAGGGATAGATTTTCTATCAGGGAATAAAAGATGTAGAAGCTGGTGTCTACCTGGATCTACGTTTTCTGATGTAGTTATCTGATGAGTTGGGAGTGGGAGGACATTCTCCAAGCTTGGTGCCTGGCAGACTGGGGAAAGAATGTTGCAGATATGGAAGTCTGATTCTCTTACCATATGCTCCTAGTTTTTTCATTTCTCTGTGTTCCAGGGAACTCTTTTCCTCATATTTAAGTTCTGGAATATTGCTGGTGATAATTTTGGCAATGTATATTTGGTTTTGATTTTCTGTAGTTGGGGTGGTGGGTAGTAAAGCCAGCTAGCTTCTACTTTGCCATTTTGGCTTATTATAGGTCTTTTTAGATTTTCTGTTTATGATGAGTAAATTTTGGTAGCTTGTATTTCTAGAAATATGTGCATTGCATTGAAGTCATTAATAAAAGTTGTGTAACTCTCCCTTGTAGTCCTTGTTTATATATTTTTGGTGCTGCTGGACAGCCATTTATATTTATATATATTTAATTTATATATTTAATTAATATATTTATTTTATAAATGTATTTATTTAATAAATATATATTTATATATTTATTAATTTAATTAATAAATATATATTTATATATTTAATTTATATATAAATTTAATATAAACTATATATAAATATTAAATATACAATATATATTTTATATTAATATATAAAAATATGTATTAATATAAAATATATAAATTTATATATAAATTATATATAAATATAAATGTGTGGCACTAAATTCAGCAACCATTATTAATGTGCTTGTGTGTGTGTGTGTGTGTGTGTGTGTGTGTGTGTGTAAGGTTTGGCTGCATCCCCACCCAAATCTCATCTTGAATTGTAACTCCCACAATTCCCACATGTTTTGGGAGGGACTCAGTGGAAGGTAAATGAATCATGGATTCAGGTCTTTCTCATGCTGTTCTCACAACAGTGAATAAGTCTCACTAGATCTGATGACTTTTGAAAGAGGACTTCCCCCGCACAAGCTCTTTCTTTGCCTGCCATCATCCATGTAAGATGTGACTTGCTCCTGCTTGCCTTCCACCATGATTGTGAGGCCGCCCTATCCATTTGAAACTGGAATGCCATTAAACGTCTTTTTCTTTCCAATCTAGGGTATGTCTTTAGCAGCAGCATGAAAACAAATACAGTAAATTGGTACCAGTAGAGTGGCACACTGCTGAAGAGATACCTGAAAATGTAGAAGCGACTTTGGTACTGGGTAACAGGCAGAAGTTGGAATAGTTTGGAGGGCTCAAAAGTACATGGAAAAATGTGGGAAAGTTTGAAACTCCCTAGAGACTTGTTAAATGACTTTGCTCAAAATGCTGTTAGTGATGTGGACAATAAAGTCCAGGCTGAGGTGGTCTCAGATGGAAATGAATAACTTGTTGTGAACTGCAGCAAAGGTGACTCTTGCTGTTTTAGCAAAGAGACTGGCAGCATTTTGCCCCTGCCTTAGAGATTTGTGGAACACTGAACTTCTGAGAGATGATTTAGGGTATCTGATGGGAGAAATTTCTAAGCAGCATAGCATTCAAGAAGTGACCTGAGTGCTGTTAAAGGCATTCAGTTTTATAAGGGAAGCAGAGCATAGAAGTTTGACAGGCTGACAATGTGATAGAAAAGAAAATTCTATTTTCTGAGAAGAAATTCCAACTGGCTGCAGAAATTTGCATAAGTAGCAAGGAGTGGAATGTTAATCCCCAAGACAATGGAGATAATGTCTCCAGGGCAGGTCAGAGGTCTTCACAGCCGCCCCCCGCTTTACATGTCTGGAGGTCTAGAGGAAAAAATTGTTATGTGGGCCAGGCCCAGGGTCTCCCATTCTGTCTGCAGTCTAGAGACTTGGTGCCCTCTGCCCCAGCTGCTCGAGCTGTGACTAAAAGGGGCCAAGGTACAGCACTGGTTGTGGCTTCAGAGGGTACAAGCCCCAGGCCTTGGCAACTTTCACGTGGTGTTGAGCCTGTGGGTGCACAGAAGTCAAGAATTGAGGCTTGGGAACCTCTGCTGGGATGGCAGAGAATGTATGTATGGAAATACCTGGATTTCCAGGCAGAGTTTGCTGCAGGGGCAGGGCTCTCATGAAGAACCTCTGCTAGGACAGTGCCCCCACACAGAGTCCGTCTGTACTGAGGCACCACCTGCTGGGGCTGTGAGAAGAAGGCCAACGTCTTTCAGACCCCAGAATGTTGGATCCACTGACAGCTTGCAATGTGCATTTGGATAAGCCACAGACACTCAATGCTAGCCCATAAAAGCAGCCAAGAGAGATAATGTACCCTGCAAAGCCACAGAGGTGTTGTCCAAAACCATTGGAACCCACCTCTTGTATCAATGTGAACTGGATGTGAGGCATGACATCAAAAGAGATCATTTTGGAGCTTTAACATTTGACTTCCCCGCTGCATTTTGGACTTGCATGGGGCCTGTTGTCCTTTGTTTTGGCTAATTTATCCCATTTGCAATGGCTGTATTCACCTAATGTCTGTACCCCCATTGTATCTGGGAAGTAGCTAACTTGCTTTTGATTTTACGGTCTCATAAGTGGAAGAGACTTGCCTTGTCTCAGATGAGATGTTGGACTGTGGACTTTTGAGTAATGTTGACATGAGTTAAGACTTTGGGAGACTGTTGGGAAGGCATGATTAGTTTTGAAATGTGAGGACATGAGATTTGGGAGAGGCGAGGGACAGAATGATACGCTTTGGCTGTGTCTCCACCCAAATTTCATTTTACACACAATTCAATTCTCATGTGTTGTAAGAAGGACCAGTGGGAGTTGAATGACAGGGTAATTGAATCATGGGGGTGGGTCTTTCTCATGCTGTTCACACAAAAGTTAGTAAGTCTCACAGGATCTGGTGGTTTTAAAAAGAGCAGTTCCCTTGTACAAACTCTCTCTCTGCCTGCGGTCATCTATGCAAGACATGACTTGCTCCTCCTTGCCTTCTGCCATTATTGTGAGGCCTCCCCAGCCAGGTGGAACTGTAATTCCATTAAACCTCTTTTTCTTTCCAGTCTTGGGTATGTCTTTATCATCATCATAAAAATCGATATATATATATTTGTGTGTGTGTGTGTGTGTGTGTGTGTGTGTGTGTGTGTATGTCATTATATATATTTTTTGTAAGGTCAATAACAATGCATCCTCTTTCTTTCTGAGTTTTAGTAATGTGAGCCTACTCTTTTTATTCTTGTAATTCTAGTTAAATTTTGTAAATTGTATTGATCTTTTAAAATAATAAACCTTTTTTAAATTTTATAATTGTTCTCTATTTTCCTTTTTTTAACTGTAATCTTTGTTATAACATTGATTCAGATTTTTTCTTCTTTTCAATTACTTTTACACTGGAAGTTTTGTCATTGATTTGATTTATAGTGTCTAAAGCTATAAATGTCCCTCTAGTACCACTTTAACTTAATTTCTTTGGTATGTTGTATTTTCGTCTTCCTCTCCAATTATTTTTCAATTTTGATTGTGATTCTGTTTGACTCGTTCCATATTGAAAACTGAAACTGCATTGTTTAATTTTAACATATTTATAAATTTCTCAAATTTATATTTTCATTGACATCTAATTTTATTCTATTTTTTCTGGAGACCATACATTGTATGAATTCAATTATTAATATTTATTGAGAATTTATTTGTGACTTACAATAGGTTTTATCCTGGGGACAAGATTTTTTTTAACATCTTTAATATCCATATTAATTTTTTCTCTTTTTATTATTATCAAATGTGGGTCACTGAAATCAACAACAAATGTTTATGTATTGTTATTTTTTCCTTTAATTGAATCAAGTTTTACTTCAACTGTCTTGGGGCTCTGATGACCGATTCATATATGCTTTTAATTTTTATGTCTTCCTAATTATTTGACCCTTTAATTGTTATAAATTGTCATTAGTAATTTAATCATTATATATTTTCTGCAATTATAATTTCCATCTTAAAGTCCATTTTGTCTAATATTAGAATAGCCATCCCATCCATATCTCTTTTGGTTACTGTTTGCATAGTGTACCTTTTCCTCCTTTTATTTTAACTTAGTTGAGTTTGCATCTAAAGTGTATCTCTTGTGTAGTGATATAGTTGAATCATTTTTTTAAAAATTTATGTTTTCTACCTCTGCCTTTCATTTTAATGTTTGTTCTATATACATATACTTAATTTCTCACAAGTAGAACTTGCCTTATTTTCTATTATTTTTCTATTTGTTTTCTTTATGTTTTATGTCTCTTTAATAGTCCTCTACTAACATTTTATTTTATATTAAATAGCTATTTTCTAGAGTATGATCTTAAAATACTTCTCATGTCTCTTAGTATATTTATTATTTTGAATGGCCCCATGTCTATAATTACTACTTTAATGTACAACAATCTAGTATGGAAGTAAAGAAAGTTAATTTTAAAACAACAACACCACTTTATTGGTATAGGTTTATTTTCTTCCCTCTCCTTAGTGCTATTATTGTCCCACAAATGACATTCTTATACAATAAAAATCTATTAACCCATTTTTAAAATTATGTTTATATGGTTATCTTTAAATGACTGAGAAAAAAGTTATTATAAAAATATTATTATTATGTCTTTCATATTTACATATTTATACACATTACTGGTGAGCTTGATATTTCCATGTTGGATAAACTACTTTCCAGTGTTCTGCTCTTTCTGCTTAAAGTACTCTTTGGTATTTTCTATATGGGAGGTGGGTGTGCTAGCCACAGTGTTTTGTTTTTTAGTTTTGTTCATATGAAAGTGTGTTATTTTTCCTGTATTTTTAAAAATTACTTTTGCTGGATACAAAAGACTGGATTATTGGTTGCCAGTCTTTTTATTTCACCACTCGCCTTGAATATAGCAACTCACCACGTTCTGTCCTCTATAGTTTCTAATAAGAAATTGGTTATTTATTTTATCGTGTATTTCTTGTTCATAATGGGTCCTTACTTTTTTTTTTTTCTGTTTTTGAGATGGAGTTTCACTCTTGTTGCCAAGGCTGGAGTGCAGTGGTGCCATCTTGGCTCACTGCAACCTCCGTCTTTTGGGTTCAAGTGATTCTCCTGCCTCAGACTCCCGAGTAGCTGGAATTAAAGACACCTGCGACCACAACCAGCTAATTTTTTGTATTTTTAGTCTAGATGGTTTCACAGTGTTGGCCAGACTGGTCTCGAACTCCTGACCTTAGGTAATCCACTTGCCTCGGCCTCCCAAAGTGCTGACATTACGGGCATGAGCCACCGCGCCTGGCTAATACAATACGTTTTTACAATACAATTTCACAATATTTGTGGGGTACAATGTGATATTTCATTGCATGTATATATTGTATAATGGCCAAATTGTTGTATTCACCATATTTATCACTTCAAACATTTATCTTTTTTCTGTGGTGACAGCATTCAAAATCTTCTCTTCAACCTATGTAGTTATACCACTTTGTTATTTGCTGTAGTCATCATACTGTGTAATAGAATACCAGAATGTATTCTTTCTGTCAGAAAATGATAGGACCAAACTGATTTTGTTCCCTCCTGTAACTGCCAGGTTTCTGGTTTTCAGGACTACCCTGTTTTTGAGGCTGTTATTTTGCTAGGTCACAATGGAACATGGTCAAGGAGGATAATAATTAGAGATTATTTTAAATGCCTTCAAACTCAATATTTTTACCAAGATTTATTATGTTTCTCAAAACAACTCTCAGTATTGTTACAATTCTTTGGTTATTCTTAATAGTTCTGAAATGCTAATTTTGATGTTTAATCTTTCTTCTTATTGGATAGGCAGATGACCTTACTCTGCCATTCTGCTGTCACCCAGCAGAAATGTCTTAATTTAAAAGACAAGAATAATTAAAATAATAATCTAGCAAGCAGTTTTTGAGACTTATGTCAGAAATTGAGTGAATGAGACTCTGCACTTGACTCAAATAAATATGAGATATATTATAAAGAAATAATTTATTAATAAACATCTTTTTATTAAAATATGTAACAAAATACTATTTTGCCAGAGGGAAGAAAAAGCTAAATTTGGGTAGGGTTAGGAATAAAAATTCAAAAGTAAAAAAAAACAAATGAACTGAGACTTCAAGGATAAATAGTAGTTCACCAGGTTAAGAGAAAAAATAAAGAATATGCTTAGCAGGAAAATTGGTAAAGAAATAAAAGCATAGCCAAGAATTTCCTTTCCTTTCCTCAAATAATTACAATATTTGAATACAGTTTTAATAAATAAAAAAAGCAATGCTCATAATGTTCTCCCAAATATCAATAAAAGTATATAAAATGTAAGGTTTAGCATAACTGTACAGTTTTTCTTAATATCGTATTGTGCTATGGCTGGAATCCTTATGTATCTTTCTATCACTTTCATATAAAATTATTGCACTTTGCAAAGTTTATTTTCATTAAACATTAATGTTAATTTACATAATCACATTCAATGAATTCATTATAAGCCAGAGAAAAGTTTGTATTCAGGTTTTCAAATTTGTCTGACTCAAACATTTACCAATCAGAATAACTTGAGATTAACAAGGAAAAGCAAAAATTTCAGATTCTGAGAACATATACACAAACACTGACACACACAAATACATACACATACACACAGACGCAGGAGATGAACTGACCAAAAATAATAAATACTGACTCTTAGAGTTAGCTTGTTGCAAGTTCAGTAAATACTGCAGAATATACTTGGTGTTTTCTTCGCTCTGCTTCTATATACCTGTACAAAATCAGATAATCCCTCTCTGTTACCTCAGAAACAAAATATAAAAATAGAGTGATGCTCTTGATATGAAAATTTGACTCAGCAATATTTTTCTTATTATAAAATAAAGAAGTAAAATGATTAATAGACACAAGAATACTGCCATCAGTAAAAATGTTTAGAACATTGTTTAACAATAACAGCATGATAAAACAAAGCATGCTGTCGTTACATATATGTAATATTCTAAGAAATACACATGCTTAATACTCTTTTCTTTTGCAGCTGAGTAATGCATATAGGAATTTAGTTTCTAACAATATGATAGGCCAGGGTTGCAAGGAAAATATTCCTAGGGTTAAATTGATAAAATTTTTGCCTTTATTTTTTATTACTCTTGAGGGATAATTTGTATACAATCAAATTCAACAAATTTAGTCAATAATTAGATGATGTTTGATCAAAAAAATGTGTATGATGATTGTCATGATTTATCAGTTCATTCTTAAAGAAAATATACCAATTGCAACTAAATATGGATTTAATAGTAGAGCATCAAGGTATAATAAACAAAAAAGCTGACTATGAACATGAAAAGCAAATCCATATTATCTTCATGGAATTTAACACAACAACCTCACTAGTTAGATACAATATCTGTGAGGGTACAGAAAATCTACATGACATTATCAACTAGCTTAAATATTATTTATAGTTTGCTACACCTAACATTTACAGAATACATATACATATATATGTGTATGAGTGTGCATACATATATATGTGTAACAATAAAATTTTTGCTATTAATCCAATTTTAAAAACTTCTTATTGCACCTGTACAAGTATTTCTCTAGGGCTTATATTTAAGAGTGAAACTACTGGGTCATAGTTCATAAGCAAACTAAAATTTACAGGAGAAAGTGGTTACATTAATTTAGTTCCATTATGGGATGCAGCCAAATGCTTCATATTAGAAACTTGGTACATGAAAAAATTAATGACTTGAGCATCTAACTTTAAAACAAATCTAAAGTCTGTTGAGAAAGATAATCATAAACAGAAGTGCAGAAAATAAAGTAACAAAAACAAATATAAAATATAGAAACCAGCGAAGTCAGAGGTTGACTCAGTAAAGAAATAATAAAATGAATAAATATAGGCAGGATTTTTAGTGACCAAAAGAAATAAAGCACACTCACAAATACCAGCAACAATAAAAACATAATGTATAACAGATACAGATAAAGTTACAATTTAGAACTAGACCATTACAAAAACCTTATTACAAATTTTAAAGTGCAAAACTTTCTTAATTTTATAGTATCTATTCACCAAATGTCTATAAAAAGTAGGTCTGTTTGTGACTTTTTAGACATTATCTATTAAAGACAGAAACAAAAGAAACATAACTAACTTTTTATTCTCATTTTGAAATGTAATGAAACTTCAATAGAGGGCAAAAAGACTGAAAAAGAATTATAAAACTTAAGGAATGAAGAAAAAATAGTGAAAATTATTGTTTTTACATACTGCGGTTGTCTACATAAAAATGCCGTAAGTAAATGTAAATGTTATAGAATTAACCAAGGAATTTAATAAGTTTTTCAAATAAAATATTAATATTTGAAAAATAAAAACTAGTAGAAGAGAGAAAATAAAATTTAATTTAAAATAACATACCTAATAGAAACAAAGTTAACATATTTGTGCATGTAATCCAACCAGTTATATACAAGTCCTCCATTTTTAAGTTACTAACTGTATTAACTTGATGGAAATTATCAATAGAGTATATTCTATGTTCTCTGTCTGTGAGAATTAATAATGAATAGATGTAAATTCTCCCCAAATTGATCTTCTAAGTCAATGTAATTCCAATAATCATTTCATGCAAATTAAAATTTGCCTCTAAATATATTTAGAGAAGCAAAATGTACAATATACTTAAAATAATATTTAAGGAAAAGAACCAGATATGGGTAATTGGCATACCAGGATTGTTTCATTGGGAATAAATAGAAATTAAGCTAGGTTATTTAGTTGCATGTAGAGTTAAATGGACTTATGGAATATAACATGGGAGCTTTATGTGAATAAAAAGTATGAGTATTCATTGCATGCAGTTTGTTATAGAAAAGATGAGATCCTCAATAAATGGTGCTGATAGCTTTCTGCTCGTGAAAAAAAGAAAAATGAAAAAGAAAGAAAAAAAAAGGAAGGAAGGAATTGAAGAAAGAGAGAGAAAGAAGAAAGAAAGAAAAAGGCGATAAAAGAATGAGAAAATGAATCCCGGTTTTAAATTTCACAAAGTATTACTTCCTGACATATTGAATACTTAAATTGGAGAGTCAAAATTTTAATACTTTGAAAAGGTATTTACTGTCCTATGGAAGGAAATTTTTTTTAAAATGTACAAAACAGAAATAATAAAAGAACAGATCAGATAGGCTACATTAACATTGTTATGTATTTATTTATTTTCTTACTAAAAGACATGAAAAGCCCAGAGACAAAACAAAATCATGGTAATAGCATATGTTAAGAAAAAATTCACAAGGTAGGAGAAAATATTTATAATAGTTGAGATTTAACAGAAAAATAATTTGAATCAATAAGAAAAAATGAGAAATGAGAAAGATACATAAACAGGCTTACTGCAGAAAGCATCAGTGACTCAAAAGATGAAAAGATTTTCAACCTTTATTTATCACAAGAATGTTAAATGCAAAATGAGATTTCATATCCAGTAGATCTACATGAAATAATGAATCAATACCAAGTGTTGGCTAGAGTGTTGAACAAAGGAAACACTAAAACTATAGGAGCATAAATTAATGCAATCAGTTTGAGAACCAATTTGACATTGCCTAGCAAATACGGACATGACACAGCAATCTTCTCCAAAAATATCACTCCAGAGGAAATGATTTTGATGTATCCCAGAAGGCATTTGTAAGTGTTTTAAGAGATGGTCGTAATAGATAAAATGAGTTAATATCTGTAAAATACAGAGTAAGGTTATAAATAATAATAATATAAATTATTACTTAAAACAAAAATAGAATTTCAAAATCAACATGTTCATCATTAATTGAACTGATATATTCTTGTATATGCATATAACGACTACACAGTATGAGTGAATATGAATGAATTGCAAGTATATACATGAACATGGATGAATCTCATAAAATATTTTTGAGTGAATACAATACGAAGGAATAAATACACAATATGAGTTATTTTACATAACATACATAAATAAAAAACTAATTGATGTTTCACTTAATGTTTATATGTGGAAAATTATAAATAGAAGAATGAGAGAAACACATACAATTTAGAAGTGTGTTTCTTCCTAAAGGGATAGAAGTTAATGCAAATGAGAAAGAGCACCCTTCATACTTCACAGTTACTATAGCAGTAATTATTTTCTCTCCATTAAGCTGAGCGATGTATTATGGAAATCTATTTGATTCCCTTATTAGTATTCCTTGATATTATATACAATCATTTTGAAGTGTATTTCAAAATAAAAACATGTTTAAACATTAGGGGAGAATCTAAAATAATTATGGAAATGAGTCAAATTTGATAATTTCTTGCAACAGTTAATCTGTGAAGCTCTTTTTGTCTACACTGTTTAATTCAATGAAGCTTTACCATTCCTAAGCTTTTATTGGTAATCCAACAACATATTATTTCTTTTAAAATTGTCATGTTTTCAAAACAAGTTGGCTAGGTTTTAGAAAATGAAAAATGAGATTGGAAGTGATATTCTAAGATTAAATTCTAAAAGACTTTTATGATGTGATAAAAATGCAGATTGCATCGTTTCAGCAATGTAATTTTTTAAAATAATGAATAATGTGTTTATGTTTTTAGGATCAATACTTGTTTTAAAATTAATTAATGAATAAAAAAATTTATGGAATTTAACAGTAGTTCTGAGGGGAATTGGCCATTTAATCTTTTAGCCAAATGTATAAGTTAATATATTTTTAACCCAAAAGCCTATGAAATATAAATTTGCATACTATGAACTTTCACATATAGTTAACTTGGCTTTCTCCAGGTGTTAAGTAGAAACATGTATGTTGATATATATACATATTTTAACAATGTGTTTTCCTTTATAATTATTTGAGATATTATAATTAAATAAAAAGAATACCCTGAAAGGATAAGACATGGGATATTTTATTTAATTATTAATTCAATTTGACAAGAATATTCACTCATAACATTTTTGTATTACTAGGTTTTACATTGTTAATAAACAAAATTATTGTCAGCTCTTTATATAAACCTTAATCTGCATTTGCTAAATAAATTAGTACATGACTTTATTATTGTTAAATTAAATTATTATAACACTATACTTTGAAAAAAATGCAGGCATGAACTTTTTGATAGAGTACATTCTAAAATAGCTACATTTAACTTTGCTTTGGTTTATTTTATTAGTCATAATATTTATATTACATATGTTGCTGTAATAAAATTTTTTGACTTTTACTCAAATTTCAGTATAATGCTGATTGGGATGATTAAAAAACATTTTTCAAAAAGAGAGTATCAAAAAGCATAATCCATATCTGTATGTAGAAGATGCTAATGAAAGTTTTAGAAATTTAGTCAAATAAACACAAACATACATATGTAAATACATACATAAATATATAAATATTATTGGCCATATTTATATTTTTGTATTATTAGGTTTTATATTATTAATAAACAAAATTATGAATTGTGAGCTCTTTGTATAAACCTCAACCTATATTTACTAGAGAAATTAGTATATGATGTTATGATTCTTAAATTCTTATAACACTGTACTTTGAAAAAATGCAAGCATGAACTTTTTGATTTGATGCATTATAAGTAGCTATATTTAACTTTGCTTTGGTTTGTTTTATTAGTCAAAATATTTCTAGTACATATGTTGCTTTAATAAAATTATTTTGTTTTATGACTTTAGCTCCATTGTTTAACAAAATCTTTAGCTATTAAAAATGCTCTTTAAAATTACATAGTTTTATTTTGTTATTTTTGTCGCATATAAAACATATCACCTTTTGTTCTGTCAGCTTTTCTCAACATCAAATTGAAACCATCTCATAGTGATGGCCAGATGGATAACAGTTTTACTTATTTCATTTCTCTAGTGAGTTTTCTGCTTTGCTATCATCACCTCTATCAGTTTGACTCAAAATTCTAAGAAACTTTTTCCTCTACTTTTTTGTCTTCAGTATTAACATTAGAATAGATCAGTAAGTGCAAATGATTATTCTCTCTCTCCCTAGTCTTCCACAAGATCTATATCTTGTTTTCCTCAAATATGAACCTGCCTTTCTATAAATTCTGAGAGCAGGTATACTACAGAAGTCACCTTTTTTTCAGATGCCAGTAACTGAACAGTTGAGTTTGTCAAGTAGTCTCGTAAGTTCATGCTGACAGTTCTTACTTCCTTTACTTTCATCTATTCCTCTCTAGTGTCCTTATTTATATCTGAATCTATGAATATGCTGGTTCCAGTGGGTAGATAAACGTCAGCTTAGCCTTTTTCTTCAGGTTGTATAGCAATTGCCTGTAAACTTAAGGAAGGAAGGAAAAAAATATACATACACACACATATATATATATATATGTGCTTATTCACTTGACCTATTTGGAAAGGTCATTTAGATATTTCTTTTGCCTTGTGAAATGGAATTATGGATTTTTTTCTAGTAAGCAAGGCGCTTTTCTGTGTTTCTGTGTATGATTGATTTGTCCAACTATGCCCTAGATTCCAAGTTCAGTTTTCATAGTACTTGTTAGCTTAAAATCCCAAAAGTACACTGTAAGGCAGAATAGTCAATGAAAGGAAAACAGACTCATCAATATTGAATGTACTGTCCAAATGGAATTTGGTGCCTGAGGTCAGCAGAAGAGCTATAGTTCATATCTCTTGCTTCTGGTAATAGCTTCTGGTCCTCTTAGATATCTTGTACCCTTTGTTGTTCAACTCTTCTTTCTATGCTTAGGGTAGCTTTTTGATACTGAGTGAATTCACAGCTACTATTTTCTTTTCGTTTCTCAAGTCATTATATATGTATGATTTTCTCCATCTCAAAGCTTTAACTGTCTCCACTATTTCTCAGGAAAATACCTATCAGTTCTCTTCCTATTCTTTTCAGTCTCCATTCACTACTGTTTTAGGGGAATAATACCAAAATATTTATTATGTGTATATCTTTAGTGTTCATATTTAGATAGTGGCATCGTTGGTGCAAAGATTGTTCTTTATGTACTAAATAAAAGTCTGTAGCAAATTCAAATTGATTTAAAAAAGGGATAGTTTCTTGATGTTTCTAATATTGTCCATGTCCAAACCTAGGCCAAAGAAATCAACTTTTTCTCATCCTTTTTCTTCTTCAGAAATATATATATATTGACTACTCTAGTAATGGCCATGTTGTTATCTCTTTTCATTATTTGCTGTATTTTCTTATGCACTTTTTCCTATAAAGGCTATCATATTATAGACACAAAAAGATTTCTCTAAGCTTAACTGTTAGGTTGCATCTGGATAGGCATAACTACAGCATGAAACTTTATTTTTTTCTCTTCCATATCAAAAGAAATATGAATTGTATATAGAGAAAATGCAAATTTGTAGTGTTCTTCTTTTGCCCACTAGTAACTTTTCTGATACTGGCATTTCATCTTCCATTGATTTTCCAGTGTTAAGAAAAACAAGCTTGATAAAATATTTCACCAAAACAGATAGTTGTATTTCCTTGACCACTACGTTCAAATAAAATCGACCTTTTTCTCAATCCTGGAAATGAGCCAGGCTTACTTCTGCTTCAGAAATTGTGTACCAGACTTTGCCTTAGAAAGTGAGGGACATAAGCCTGGCTTCCTGTAATGAGATGTTAGCCTCATGAGATCTCCTTGGAGAGGCCTTGCTTGCTGTATGTATGTGTGTATGTGTGTACGTAAAGAACCCTTTGTTATGTCTGCATAAAACAGCAAAGTTTAATTTTAATTCTATGATTTTTATCTCTGTGTTTCCTCCCAAGAATATTAGCCTTTAAGAGCAGAGACCTTGTCAGTATGGTTCAAGATTTGCAGCACCTAGAATAGTGCCAGCACAGAGGAAGTACCCAATAAAAGTTTGTTAAAAGAATAAACAAGACTCATATTCTTGATATCAGAAATGAAGGTAAATTGCCACTCTATAAGTAATTCCTGAATTTGGGATGTGAATAATATTTATGTGATATGCAACATACAAACACATATACACACCACACACACAGGTGATCTACCTATATCTCTAGCCATCTATCTATCTGTCATCATCATCATCTATGAAATAGTCTATTTCAAAAATACCTATTTTCTGTAAAAATATATTTTTTTTCTTTCCAAGATCTGAAAATTACTTGCTATGTGACCAGCTTGTTAAGTCACTTTTTGACCTTTGGTACATTCATCTCAAAGCAATATCTACTTTCTAGTTTGTTATGAGGCTTATATGAGATAAGGTATAAGACGTGCTTTGCCTGTAGAAGGTGATAAAGATAACCTCACACCACAGTTAACCTTTCACCAACAAATAAATAAGTAAATTTGACCAAAAATAATGACTATATAATAATACAAATGTTGTGAAACAGCCTTTGAGTTAAATTATTCACACAAGCTACTGAATAGCATGGTCATTCTATTTAGATGAATTTGAATATTTTACATGTCTAAAATCAGATATTTAAACAAATCGTGAATGGAGTTTATAGAAATAATGGTTCTAAATTAAATACCAGTGATTAAGATTCATGGCCAAGTTTGTCTTTGGGGGTTTTTCTGGTTTTACAAATATAGTGAGAAACATTTTAATCCTAATTCTCAAAAACATTTTTTTACCTTAAACCAGATAGTCTTTCATGAGTAATAATTGTAGCAAGCACCTAATTCACATAAACTAGCCATTTGGATTGAATAATGGCTGAGTGTGTTTTCTACTGCTAAGAAGTAATGATTTCCATCTGGGGATCAGATAAAAGGCTAAACAGAATGTGTTGGGTTTTCCTGTGATCAACTAATTGACACTTTATGTCTTCTATGCTCCATAACAACTTTGATCAAATTTCAGATTCTTTATATGTATAATATTTACTATATAAAATATATGTTACTTTATGCATTACAAACAGTACAGTACAGTTTATAAGAACAGACTGCAGCCAGATTTAAAAGAGATGCAATCTTTAGCAAGTACTTAATGTTTTCTGATTTCATTTTCTTTATCTGTAAAATGGTAACAGTAGTAGTAATCACTTCTGAATTATGGTGAGGTTTCAGTGAGTTAATATATACACAGCACTTAGAAAAGCACCTATTACATAGGAAATGTTGTATGTATTGGCTACTATTATTTAGAAATAAAATTCGAACTACATTTTCTGATTGCATTAAACCTGGTTATAGATCATCAAATAGAACAGTATAATTTGGTTCTATGCTATTTATTTATGAGTAAATGACTGACTGCATTGGCCTATTGCTTTGGGCAGAGGTTTTTAACATATAGTGTACCAAATAATCATCAGAGGTGTTAACTGAAATCCAGATTTCCTCATTTGCCTTTGTAGGCTAATAGCGTGAGGTGAGGTGGAGACGTCTGTAGCATAAACAATTACAACAAATTATTTTATATAACATGGGGGTAAATATAAAGAACAACTTACTTAGAAGATTACTAAGAAAATTACTATGAAAATAGAAAATTATGGACTCCTATAAGATCTTAATCTTCATAGATCTCAAAACCTACTTAGGGGCGTAGCATAGCAGCTGTAATCCGGGCAGAGTGACACCAGATATATGAATACATTTTAAAAAATTATCTGAGTTCACAGTGGAGAATTAGATAAACTTTAATGGATGACATTTTAAAAGACTTCTAATTGGAGGTGAAACTTAAAGAATAGGTGGAATTTTAGTTAGTAAATCAATTCATTGTAAGAGGAGAAAAATTGAGAAGATAATTAAGATTTTTAAAAAGTGTACTGTATGAACATGGTGACATAAATATGAGTGTGTGTGTGTGTAAACACAGCTATTCCTTTATACATATATGTAGGTCCATACATATTATGCGTATATACGTAGTATATATACACATACAAACCTACATATACCAGTATACACAAATAAGTAGAATAATAAAGTCTGAGCTTAAGGTGGTAAAACAGACTGGGTGAGTTAAAGCCTTCAAATTATTAGACTTGTTAGGAAGCTCTTAAAGTTTTATACAAGTGAAAGATGAGAAATTGAAATTAAGGTAACGTTTCTTGAAACTAAAATAAACTTAGCAAGATACTGACAATAATAAGCAGGGGATATTAGAAAGGAAGTAATTAAAGATAATCTATACACATAGATTGTCTGAAGCTCTAGTCCGTGGTGTTAGAAACAAGAATCTAATTTACCCTTTAGAGCATAGTGGATGGAAAGGAAGACAAGGGGAGATTTTGGAGACTGCTAATCTGTTTCTTTATCTGAGTCTGGCTACATGGGTACATTCAGAATCAGTATTCTAGTTACATGGGAGTGATCTGTGACCTGGATTATTTCTACTGTACAACATAATGTACCAATAGGAGATATCTGGACTTTCATTTAGTCAACAAATAAATGCTCATTACCTGCCAAGTGCTAGGCACTTTTCTAATCAAACGGAATATAATGAGAGAAAAAAAAGCACAATTTTTTGACATGATGTATACTTGTGATATACTCTATTCTACAAATAAATTATACTTTTCAAGTTAAGAAATAATTATGAATATAAAAACAACTAATTTTAAAATAACAAATATAATGTATTCATCAAAATGATCAAAGGTTTTGACCTTTACAAAGGAAATAATACAAGAGGATATGAAATTTTTCTAAATTTTCACTATTTGTCAAAACATCTTTTAACTTTTCTTCTTAAACTACATCATAATTTATAAAATACTTTAAAATATTTTTATTGTTGTGTAATTTAAATATAACAAAATGCATAGATTATAGTTGTTCGATGAGTTTTATGCAATCTCCAACATAGCCGAAATGTGGAACATTTCCATCACCCTTGAAAATTTCCCCTGTCATTCTTGCAGTCAAATCACAACACTAGTATTTCTATTATTTCTGTAAGTTTAGTTTTGGCTTTACTTAGAACTTCACAAAATGTTACCAGCAATAAACTATTTTTATACATTGATACATTACATATGTATGTCTATTCCATATATATGGATATGTTTTTACATACATATGCACACACTGTTCAGATCTTTTCTCATTTTCTAATCAGCTTATTAGTTTTCTTATTGTTAAGTTTTAAATGTTTTAAGTTTTAATTCCTTTTTCTACTTCATTATGTGCCAATAAGATAGAATGCCTCAATGGCTTCCAAGATAAAAAGTAGTGGATACAAATGCGATGGTATTTCCATTATATCAGACATATTCCTGCTGTTGTGTGTAACAGAAGTTTATTCATTTTTGTCTGCAGTATCCTCCATTATATAAATGCACAACAGTTTGTTAATCCGATAACATATTGATAGACATTAAATTGTTTTCATTTTTACAGTAATTAATCAATCTACTAATAATATTATTGTAAAAGTTTTTGTGGTGATTTATATATATATATTCCCTTAGGATTAATATTTTACATATATATTTATATATATATATCCCCTATAAATACATAGATGTGAAATTTCTGTGTCATTATTGACACTTTATATACTTCATAATTCATAGATTTGTGTTGTTTATGGTATCTTTGCACCAAATATAAGCTACATAAAAATAGGAAACTTTTTGTGTTTTGGCTCAGTGTATCTAATGTGATTTTAAAAAAGTATCTAGCACTCTATAAGTGTATATTTAATTTATGAGAAATGGCCGAGTTTTTTTAATGTGGCGATAGCATTTTTCATTCTCACCAGCAATTTATGAGCTCCATTTGCTTCAAATCCTCACTAAAATGTGATATTATTAGGCTTTTAACTTTTATTTTTATAAGGATAACGTCATTTATTATTTGGGTTAAATGTATTTTTCTTATGGCAAAGACTATTAAGCATCTTTTTGTGTATTTAGATATTTTTATATCTTCTTTTGTGAATATTTGTTCCAAGTCTTCTGCTCATTTTTATTTATTCTATGTTTTATTTTTTGTTTTTCCTTCCAGCTTTTATTTTAGGTTCTTGGGTTACATGTGCAGGTTTGTTACATGGGTAAATTGTGTGTCATGGAGGGTTGGTGTACAGTGTATTTTATCACTGAAGAAATGAACATAGTATCTGATAGGTACTCAATCTTTACCCTCCTCTCACCCTCCACTCTCAAGTAGGCTTCAGTGTCTATTGTTCCCTTCTTTGCACATATATGTATCAGTGACTACTTCCCACTTAATAGTGAGATCATCTGGTATTTGATATTCTGTTCCCATGTAGAGTTGCTTAAGATAATGGCCCCCAGCTGCATGCATGTTACTGAAAGGACACGACTTCATTGTTTTTTATGGCTTCATAGTATTCCATGGTGCATATGTCCATATTGTCTTTATGCAGTCCATCATTGATGGGCATTGAGGTTGACTCCATATCTTTGTTATTGTGAATGTACACATGCATGTGTCTTTATGGTAGAACCATTTACACACTCCTTTGGGTATATATACTATAATAGGATTATTGGGTCAAATTATAGTTCCGTTTTAAATTCTTTAAGAAATATCCAAACTGCTTTCCAAAGTAGCTACATTAATTTACATTCCCACCATCAGTGTATAAGGGTCCCCTTTTCTCTGCAGTCTTGTCAGGATCTATTGTTTTCTGCTTTTTTAATGATAAACATTCGGACTGGTGTGAGATGGTATCTCATTGTGGTTTTAATTTATATTTCTCTAATCATTAGTCATGCTAAACATTTTTTTCTCGTTTTTGGCCATGTGTATGCATTCTTTTAAGAAGTGTTTGTACATGTTCTCTGCTGTCTTTTTAATGGCATTGTTTATTTTGTTTCTCGTTTATTGATTTGAGTTCCTTATGAATTCCGAATATTAAACATTTGTCAGATACATAGCTTTCAAATATTTTCTACCATTCTGTAATGGTAAGTGATGCAATATGTAAGTTATCTGTTTTCTGTTTACTCTGTGGGTAGTTTCTTTTGCTGTGCAGAAGTTCTTTAGTTTAATTAGGTTTCTCTTCTCAATGTTTGTTTCTGTTGCAGTTGTGTTTGGAGTCTACATCATGAAATCTTTGCCAGGGCCTATGTACACAACGGTTTTTCCTACATTTTCTTCTAGAGTTGTTATAGTTTTAGATTTTACATTTATATCTTTCATCCATCTTGAGTTGATTTTGTATACGGTGAAAGGAAGGTTTTCAGTTTCAACCTTCTGCACATGGCTTGCCAGTTGTCTCAGCACTACTTATTCAATAGGGATTTTTTTTTCTCATTGCTTGTTATTGTTGACTTTGTGAAAGATCAGTTTGCTATAGATATGCATCTTTATTTCTGGGTTCTCTAAGCTGTTCCATCTGTCTATGTGTCTGGTTTTATGTCAGTATTATGCTGTTTTGGTCACCGTAACCTTGTAGTATAGTTTGAAGTCAAGTAGTGTGATGCCTCCAGCTTTGAATTCTTTTGGCTAAGATCACTTTGAATATTTGGGGTTGTTTTTTGTTACATATAAATTGGGGAATAGTTTGTATTCCTAATACTTTGAAGAATAACATTGGTAGCTTTACAGGAATAGGGTTGAATCTAAATTCCTTTGGGCAGTATGGTCATTTTAATGATATTAATTATTCCACTTGTCTGGTTATCTGAATCTTTTTGTTGGCCTCTAAGAACTTGTTTAATAAATCTGGTAGCTCCAATATTGAGTGCATATATATTTAGAATCATTAAGTCTTCCTGTTGAATTGAACCATTTATTATAATGTATTTTCCTTCTTTGTCCTTTTTAATCATTGTTGGAAAATGAATCAACAAAGTCTTTTTTGTCTCACATAAGACTAGCAACAACTGCTCCTTTTTTTGTTTTCCATTTGCTTGGTATTTTTTTCTCCATTCCTTTACTTTGAGTCTATCGGTATCATTGCATGTGAGATGGGTCTCTTTAATACAGCATACAGTGGGGTCTTGCTTCTTTATCTGACTTGCCATTCTGTGTCTTTTAAGTAGAGTGCTTATCCCATTTATGTCCAAGGTTAATATTAATATTCACGAGTGTGATCATGTCAGCATGTTGTTATCTGGTTGTTAGGTAGACTTGATTGTGTAGTTCCTTTGCAGTTTCTAGGTCTGTGTACTTAAGTGTGTTTTTCTATTGGTCAGTAACAATTTTTCATTTCCATGCCTAGCATTTTCTTAGGGACCTCTTTTAAAGCAGATCTATTGGTAATGCATTCCCCTAGGATTTATTTGTCTGGAAAGAATTTTATTTCTCCTTTTCTTATGAAGTTTAGTTTGGCTGAATATTCAATTCTTGGTTGGATTTTCTTCTCTTAAGGATGTTGAATCTTGGCCCTTAATTTCTTTTGGCTTGTAGTACTTATGCTGAAAGGTCTCCTGTTACCCTAACAGGTTTCCTTTTTTAGGTAGGTGACTAGCCCCTTCTCTTTATTTCCCTTTAAGATTTTTTATTTTGCACTGAATTTGGAGAATCTGATTACTATGTGTCTTCATGATGATCCTCTTGTGTAGTATCTTGCAAGGGTTCTCTGAATTTTCTGAATTTGAGTGTTGACCTCTCTAGGAAGGTTGAGGAAATTTTTGTGGACAATATCTTCAAAAATGTTTTCCATTTGCTTGTTCTCTCTCTTTTTGAGGGACACCAGTGAGTCATAGGTTTGGTCTCTTTACATAATCCCATATTTCTTTGATGATCTGTTTATTTTTTTGTTATTTATTCTTGTCACATTGACTTTATTTGAAGAACCAGTCTTCGTGCTCTAAGAGCGTTTCTTCTGCTTGTTCTATTCTGCTGTTAATACTTCCAGTTCTATTATAAAATTACGGTAGTGTCAGTTCAGTATGATTCTTTCTCAGAATGGCTATTTTGTCTTTCAGCTCTTGAATTATTTTACTGGATTCCTTAGATTTCTTGGATTGGATTTTAACTTTCTTCTGAGTATTTTTTTTTTTTAAGACAGAGTCTCACTTTGTCACCCAGGCTGGAGTGCAACATCCCGATCTTGTCTCACTACAACCTCTGCCTCCTGGGTTCAAACTATTCTCCTGTCTCTGCCTCCCAAGTAGCTGGGATTTTAGGCACCCCCCAACCATGCCTGACTAATTTTCTGTATTTTTAGTAGAGATGGGTTCCCGCCACGTTGACCAGGCTGGTCTCAAACTCCTGACCTCAGGTGATCTGCCCACCTTGGCCTCCCAAAGTGCTGGGATTACAGGCATGAGCCACCACATCCTGCTCTTCTGAGTCTTGATGATCTTTGTTGCTATCCAGATTATGAATTGGATGTCTGTCATTTTAACCATTTTAGTCTGTTTAAGAAACATTGCTGGGAAGCTAGTGCAGTCATTTGAAAGTAAGAAGACACTCTGGCTTTTTGAGTTGCTGTAATTTTTGGAATGTTTTTTTCTCATCTGTGTAGCCTGATATTCCTTTAATGCTGGAAATCACTCTATTTGGATGGGGCTTTTCTGCTTTTGTAATCTTTTCACGCCCTTGCAAGTTTGACTATTGTATAAATTGAGTTCATTTGACTGGTTTTATTTCTGCATGATTTCAGGGGACGATGGCTTAGCTCAGCACTGCATGCCTCAGCTCAGCAGTGTTAGAGCATATCCTCAGTGGCTGGCTCATGGCTCATGTCTTTTTTCCTCTGACACCTTGAGGTTAAGCATCTGCTGTGATGGAAGGAATGAGGTGTTCCTGCTCCACCGATAGTAACACTCCCATTAGAGGAGCCGGCAAAAGTGCATCATTGGGGCAGGGGCAGTGAGTCCACACTTATGCATGTGTGCTGGCAGCAATGGGATAGTGTTGCAGCAGGGTCTGCCTCCATGCTGGTGGCAGCAGAGTAGTGGTGTCTGCACATGTGCTTGTGCAGCAGCAACATAGTGGCAGGGTCTTCATATACTCTCAATACCTTCCTTGTAAAGATCTTCTCAGAGTGTGCTGGTTTTCCTCATGGTCTGGTCTCTCCTGATGGGAGAAGCTCTTCCTGGCTGCTTCTAGTTGGCCATCTTGGCCTAATACTTCTGCCTATTTTTATTGCTTTTTTTTGTAAATTAATGTTATATATTCTGAACATAAAAAATGATGGTTTGAATATTTTTGGTGGCAATAATATATTATTTAGCCATATTGGAATTTTAAAACATTTAAAATGTATGGTACGCATATAAAAATATGAATACTCACAATTGCAAACATAAACAAAAAATAATATAAAATAATACTCTCATTATTCTGTAACATGTAAATCAAAAGTTTAATACAAACAGAAGCTTTGGAGATTCCTTCTGGTGATTGTGTCAGTCCATTTTGTATTGCTGTAAAGTAATACCTGAGATGTAGTAATTTCTAAGTAAAAGAGGTCTATTTGTCTCACAGTTCTGCAGGCTGTACACAAAGCACAGTTTCAGAATCTGCTTCTGGTGAGGGTCTTGGGAGGCTTACAGTCATGGTGGCAGTCAATAAAGGAGGTAGCATGACACATGGCGAGAGAGAGAGAGAGAGAGAGAGGGAAAAAGAGAGAAAAAGTTTCAGGTTCTTTAAAAAGACTAGATCTTGCTTGAAGTCATAGAGTGATAACTCATTCATTACCATGAGGGCAGTACCAAGTCATTCATGAGACATTCATCCCATGACCCAAACACCTCCCACTAGGACCACCTCCAACATTGGAGGTCACATTTTAACATGAGTTGTGGGGGACAAAATATCCAAACAATAATAGTGATACTTTTACATGTGTCTAGTTTGAAGATACAAGGCTTGTTTGATGGCTTAATACTCATTTTCATGTGTGGTGCTATTCTGGTTGAAAAATTAATTGAATTTTATTATACTATGTTTTTTTGCCTTAGTATAAGGTAATTTAATGGGCTGAATTTTTACAGCATTTTTAGCTTTATAGCAAAATTAAGTGGAAATTACAGAGAGTTCTTACATACCCCTAACCCTACGTGTTCACAGACTTTCCGGCATCAATAACCTGGTCCACCGTGATACATTTTTTACGGTGGAAAAACCAACACTGACACATCATTATCTCTCAAAATCCTTAGTTTACATTAAGGTTCACTCATGGTGTTGTACATTCTGCAGGTTTCAACAAATGTGTAATGACATATATCTACAATTATAGTATCATGCAGAATAGTTTCACTGCCCTAAAATTATTCTGTGCTCCTCTTATTCACTCCTTCTTTCCTCCAACCCCTGTCAACAACTTATCTTTTTACTGTCTCCATAGTTTTGTCTTTCCCAGCATTTCATATGTTTGGAATCATATAGTATTAAGCCTTTTAATATTGGCTTCTTTCACTCGGTAACATGCATTTAAGTTTCCTGCATATCTTTTTATGATCCAGTAGCTAATTTATTTTTAGTGCTGAATAATATTCTATTGTCCAAATATACCATAGTTTCTTAACCTGTCCATCTTCTGAATGGCATATTGATTGCTTCCAAGTTTTGGAAATCATGAACAGAGTTGCTGGAAACATCTATTTTATATAAACTTGTCAACTCATTTGAGTAAATACAAAGTAGCATGACTGCTGGTTCATTTGCTATGAGTACTTTTAATTTTGTAAGAAACCACCAAACTGTTTTCCAATTCCCGCCATCAATCAATGAGAGTTTCTGTTGTTCCGCATCCTCACCACATTTGGTACTGACAGTGTTTCTGATTTTTTAATAGCTGTGTAGTTGTATCTGTGTTGTGTAAAATTACAATATCTTAATGAAATATAAAGTAGATCATCTTTTCATAGGCCTATTTGTCACTTGTACTTCTTTGCTAAAGTTTCTATTCACATGTTTTCCCCGTTTTCTAATCAGGTTGTTAGTTTTCCCATTGTCAAGTTTTTCTTATGTGTTATTCCCCTTTTTACATCATCATGTACTAAAAAGATGGAGTGCCTGAATGGCTTCCAAGAAAAAACGTTGCATATATAAATGCGATCAAGATATCCTTTAGATTAAAGATTCCTAATCAGGCTGATAATCAAAATGTTTTGTTGCTCTTTAAAAAGACAAAAAATTCTCTTTTCATGAGTGACTCAATTTCAAAAATTTGATATTCGTTGTAAAATTCCCCATTAAAAAAGGAAAAAGAAGCCCTTATATCATTGTAATTATTGTCTGTTTGGGACAATCACTAGAACAAATAACACCATAGAACTCTAGTGGCATTTAACTGGATAAAGATTTATTGACTCCCTACCAAGTGCCAGGCATTGTGCCAATTGCTGGAAAAAATGTGACTTTTCATTAAAAAATATTACGTGGTAATATAAACACATAAACAGATGAATTAAAGCAGAGCACTTCCTCTGATAATCATAAATGCTGAAAATTAGAAAAAAAGGAGTGGCCATTTATATTGGAAAGTTGAAGAGCAACTTTTTAGAGAAGATAATCACTAAGTTCTGTCTTTAATGACAAATGGGAATCAGCTAGGCCAAGAAAGAGAGATGACTATATTCAAATATACTTGCCAAGGGAAAGATAAATAAAAAAAAATCCTATGTTAGGAAAAGCAAAAATTCCCCATGAACTCAGGGTTAAGTTTAAGTGGGAATAATGATAAATCACGGACCTCCATAAATATAACCATATAAAAGGTAGGCAGAGGTATGCTACCCCACACCCGTGCTGCTCTTGCTCCCTTTTATCCTGCTACTACCTTTCTATCACTTAGCAAAAAATAACAATAATATAAAAAATAGAAGCAGCATTAAAGCAGAAATATTTCTGTGTTTTTTTCCCCTCAGTGTGAATAGAAAAGTACTTAACACTTGGGAGGTGATAATTATTTATTTGTTGAGTAAATGACAGGCCAGTTACTTCCTATCTGTAAATTCTGTTATATAGTAGAAAGAATCCAGGACCAGGTATTAGAATATTTTCAAAACCAGGCTTCTTTATTGAACCAGCCTTTTAAATTCTATCAATCAGTTTTCTCGTATGTAATTAGAGAAAAGCATGAAGCCCTTGTAGCATCTTAAGATTAACTGTCCTGATGTATGTGAAAGAAATCGTGATACATGTTATATAAAACATGGACTTGTGTTTGTGCTAATGATCTGAGTGGCATCATTGTGTTACATAAAAAGAGTGGAAGATTTGGAGTCCTAAAACTGAAATAAAATCTGTAAAATTTATGTCATTTACTTTATTGTTTACTTTTTGATGCTTTATATTCTCTGTAAAATTGCATTACTTAAATTTACTTTAATATATAAGTTAATTGTAAACTTCAATATTTCACATATGTCCTATTTGCCACGCGGAACTATTATACGAACCAGAACTAAAAATGTATTAAAAATTGTGTGGTTTGGGGGCTTTCAAAGGATACGTACTTTGTTGCTGTTGTTGCATGTTTGCTTTTACTTCTGTCTTTCATTTGAAGTGTTTCTCCTGAGGGTATATCAGATCCTGGGCCCACTATGTACTTCTACAACTTAATGTTCAATATAATCATAAGAACACCTTCAGGTGGTGCCTGTATACATACTCCATTTTGAATGTTGTCAGAATATGTGTCGTTCATATCACAATGGAGTCAACTGTGAAAATTAGCAGCGGTTAGGAAGATGGCTCATATGATTGTGTTCCTCCAATTAGTTTGCATGGAAAGCTGTCTTACTGCTTTCTGTGTGCTCAGTGAAAGAAGATTACATGATCTAAATGATGTAGGGTGGAAATTGTAAAGTCTTAAGCAGAATCTCACTTCTTTAATCTATTTGTTTGAATTTTGATGAAAAATATGGCACAGATCCGAAAGGTTAGAAACAGTATGATATTAATGTCAGAGAAACTGTTTTTAAAACTGCTGTGGTGGAAAAACAACAACAAAAATAACAACATGGCACTAAGCAGCAAAATGTGTATTTACTGGGCAATAATCATTTTGAGGGCTGTTTTGGAGATATTTCCAAAGGAATGAATTGCCTACCTGGAGTGCAATGATATTATACAAGCGATGGTTAAGCTTGCTTATGTGTAGTTAGCAACAGCTTGCATTTAGCTATGATAATCTACTTATGCCAATAATTTTGTTGTGGAATAGTTTTAGTGATATAGTACTTACAAGGATGCTTTTAAAATGTCTTTCCACAAATGAAGCCAGAGGGCAGTCTGTAACAAATAGATGTTAAGAAGAAAATAAGGCAAATGAGGGATTATGATAAGAACTCATTATTTTATTAGGAAAAACAGGCTGTGTTCAAGCAAAAAAATAAGAAGTTTTCATAGTGGATCTGGAGTTATTGGACAGTATGAAGAAGTAAACTTCAAACTCTGCCCTACAGGTGAAAACATGTCTATTGCTTAAATCATATAAAGATCATGATCTCATAGAATACATTGTCTTTAATTTTATGTTGAACTTTTTAAAAAAAACTTAAAACACAAGATCTTAGACTAAGAGTAAAACAAAATAAAGTAGTTAAATCATTAAGTAGTATAGCTGTTGTATATGCTATGGTATAAATCAAGATAAATGTACATTGATTATACTCAACTAATTGTAAAATTCCTAAATAAACAAAAACTAAAATGTTGCAAATATTCTGTTTTAACTCATCTCCCCTCCTTTTTTATGAACCAATAATTTTAATTTTAATGTAAGTTACTAGTCTACTAAAGTATGTCCTGTTGGCTTGAATAAATTAATTATTTGTTTAGGAGCAAGCATGTTGTTTCCCTCAGAACTTAAAGTGTATTTATTATAAAGTATACTTGCACATTCTCCCAAATATATATTTAGTATCACAGTTTCTAGTTTTACTCCTTCTCTATTTGTATCATTTTACAGAAGAAATTATATAGGGATGATGGTAAATTAGGTGATGTATTATGATTGTAATGCAGTTTCTTTTCACATTAAAACGTTCCAAAAGATAGTTCATGTGACTCTTTCTTTGTAGTACATATGAAAAAGTTAAGGTTTCTTAGTTTCTTGCCATATTTACATTTTATCTAAATCTGAGGCATATAATCATTTTCCTTTAAAAATGATTTGTAATTAAAAGACTTTTTCTTACTCTTTGGATTGTTCTGAGAGTGTGGCAAATTATACTCATTGTTCCATCAGTCCAAAATTTTTAAAGAAAAGGGTGAAATGGTGTTAGATTTTGGCAAATGTATTATTCAGGAAAAGTTACTGAACTGCTTCTAGCTGAGCCAGAATACTCAGTCTTGTTCGAGCTTGTAAAAACAAAAGCATACATGGAGATTTCCCCATTGTACTCCACAAGCTTGCTGAACCCACACAGAATGTAACACTTGCTCAGAATCATTTCTAATGATTTCCTCCACAGCCAGACCGGAAACCTAAAGCTCTTTAATATTCTAGCCTCATTATTCTCATTTTCTATAATTTAACAACTTCTCATATTATTCTTAATGGAAAAGTCATGCAATATTGAACAGTAACTGCTGTTAATTTCCTGCTGTATATCATTTGCATTTTTTGTTTCCGGTAGAGAGTAATTAACATGCTCTAATTATCATGCTGATTGTCTTTTTCAGCTTACAAGAATATAGTCATATCAACCCTGGTTGATCTTACAATAGTATATTTTATTGTTTTCAATAATAGCATCTTGGGATATATAAGACAAATTTTTACAGAAAAATTGTGTGATTCTGCAGCAGCAGGTTTTTTTAAATGATTCAGTTTAGAACAGAATAATGTGAGTTTTATAGTTCCTATCAAAAAACATAGAATCTTATTTCTGTGGCAGGACAATGCTATCATTTTCTTGTGAAGGTTATTGCAGTTATACTACACTATTATCACAAAAGAAAATGTTTTCCTGTATTCCATTTAAATTGCATATTTGATTGCTTCATATTTGTAAAAGTTCATGTTAAAAATGTTGCTGTAAATATACTTGTAAATAATATAAAAATGTTACCTTATAAGTAATTGTAGTATGTCAGATTCTTTCTACCCAAAATAACATTTTTCTCAATCTAAAAATATTTACTCTGTAATTTCTAACATTAACTAAAATTTTATAAAATAGTGTGAAGACCAGAAGAAAACATAAAGAAAGTCACTCTATATTTTAAAAATAATATGTAATTGTTGGGTGGAGCCAAGATGGCTGAATAGGAACACCTACCGTCTACAGCTCCCAGCATGAGCGACGCAGAAGATGGGTGATTTCTGCATTCCCAACTGAGATACTGGGTTCATCTCACTGGGGAGTGCTGGACAGTGGGTGCAGGATAGTAGGTGCAGCGCACCCTGCGTGAGCCAAAGCAGGGCGAGGGATCGCCTCACCCCAGAAGTGCAAGGGGTCAGGGAATTCCCTTTCCTAGTCAAAGACAGGGGTGACAGATGGCACCTGGAAAATTGGGTCACTCCCACCCTAATACTGCGCTTTTCCAATGGGCTTAAACGGCACACCAGGAGATTATATCCCACACATGGCTTGGAGGGTCCTACTCCCACAGAGCCTCGCTTGTTGCTAGCACAGCAGTCTGAGATCAAACTGCAAGGCTGCAGTGAGGCTGGGGGAGGGGCGCCCGCCACTGCTCAGGCTTGAGTAGGTAAACAAAGCGGCCAGGAAGCTGGAACTGGGTGGAGCCCACCACAGCTCAGGAAGGAATGCCTGCCTCTGTAGGCTCCACCTCTGGGGGCAGGGTACAGACAAACAAAAGACAGCAATAACCTCTGCAGACTTAAATGTCTCTGTCTGACAGCTTTGAACAGAGTAGTGGTTCTCCCAGCATGCAGCTTGAGATCTGAGAATGGGCAGACTGCCTCCCCAAGTCGGTCCCTGACTCCCGAGTAGCCTATCTGGGAGGCACCCCCCAGTAGGGGTGGACTGACACCTCGCATGGCCGGGTACTCCTCTGAGACAAAACTTCCAGAGGAACGAAGAGACAGCAGCATTTGCAGTTCACCAATATCTGCTGTTCTGCACCCACCACTGCTGATGCCCAGGCAAACAGGGTTTGGAGTGGACCTCCAGTAAACTCCAACAGACCTGCAGCTGAGGGTCCTCATCATTAGAAGGAAAACTAACAGAAAGGACAACCACACCAAAAACCCATCTGTACGTCACCATCATCAAAGACTAAAGGTAGATAAAACCACAAAGATGGGGAAAAACAGAGCAGAAAAACCGGAAACTCTAAAAATCAGAGCGCCTCTCCTCCTCCAAAGGAATGCAGCTCCTCACTAGCAATGGAACAAAGCTGGATGGAGAATGACTTTGACGAGTTGAGAGAGGAAGGCTTCAGAAGATCAGACTACTCCGAGCTAAAGGAGGAAGTTCGAACCAATGGCAAAGAAGTTAAAAACTTTGAAAAAAAAATTAGACCAATGGATAACTAGAATAACCAATGCAGAGAAGTCCTTAAAGGACCTGATGGAGCTGAAAACCAAGGCACGAGAACTACGTGACGAATGCACAAGCCTCAGTAACTGATGTGATCAACTGGAAGAAAGGGTATCAGTGATGGAAGACAAAATGGATGAAATGAAGTGTGAAGAGAAGTTTAGAGAAAAAAGAATAAAAAGAAACAAACAAAGCCTCCAAGAAATATGGGACTATGTGAAAAGACCAAATCTACATCTAATTGGTGTACCTGAAAGTGACGGGGAGAATGGAACCAAGTTGGAAAACACTCTGCAGGATATTATCCAGGAGAACTTCCCCCATCTAGCAAGGCAGGCCAACATCCAAATTCAGGAAATACAGAGAACGCCACAAAGATACTCCTCGAGAAGAGCAACTCCAAGACACATAATTGTCAGATTCACCAAAGAAGTTGAAATGAAGGAAAAAATGTTAAGGGCAGCCAGAGAGAAAGGTCGGGTTACCCACAAAGGGAAGCCCATCAGACTAACAGCAGATCTCTCAGCAGAAACTCTACAAGCCAGAAGAGAGTGGGGGCCAATATTCAACATTCTTAAAGAAAAGAATTTTCAACCCAGAATTTCATATCCAGCCAAACTAAGCTTCATAAGTGAAGGAGAAATAAAATACTTTACAAACAAGCAAATGCTGAGAGATTTTGTCACCACCAGGCCTGCCCTAAAAGAGCTCCTGAAGGAAGCACTAAACATGGAAAGGAACAACTGGTACCAGCCACTTCAAAAACATGCCAAATTGTAAAGACCATCAAGGCTAAGAAGAAACTGCATCAACTAATGAGCAAAATAACCAGCTAAAATCATAATGACAGGATCAAATTCACACATAACAATATTAACCTTAAATGTAAATGGGCTAAATGCTCCAATTAGAAGGCACAGACTGGCAAATTGGATTAAGAGTCAAGACTCATCAGTGTGCTGTATTCAGGAAACCCATCTCACATGCAGGGATACACATAGGCTCAAAATAAAGGGATGGAAGAAGATCTACCAAGCAAATGGAAAACAAAAAAAGGGAGGGGTTGCAATCCTAGTCTTGGATAAAACAGACTTTAAACCAACAAAGATCAAAAGAGACAAAGAAGGGCATTACATAATGGTAAAAGGATCAGTTCAACAAGAAGAACTAACTATCCTAAATATATATGCAACCAATACAGGAGCACCCAGATTCATAAAGCAAGTCCTGAGTGACCTACAAAGAGACTTAGACTCCCACACAGTGATAATGGGAGACTTTAACACCCCACTGTCAACATTAGACAGATCAACGAGACAGAAAGTTAATAATGATATCCAGGAATTGAACTCAGCTCTGCACCACGTGGACCTAATAGACATCTACATAACTCTCCACCCCAAATCAACAGAATATACATTCTTTTCAGCACCACACCACACCTATTTCAAAATTGACCACATAGTTGGAAGTAAAGCACTCCTCAGCAAATGTAAAAGAACAGAAATTATAACAAACTGTTTCTCAGACCACAGTGCAATCAAACTAGAACTCAGAATTAAGAAACTCACTCAAAACTGCTCAACTACATGGAAACTGAACAACCTGCTCCTGAGTGGCTACTGGGTACATAACAAAATGAAGGCAGAAATAAAGATGTTCTTTCAAAACAACAAGAACAAAGACACAACATACCAGAATCTCTGGGACACATTGAAAGCAGTGTGTAGAGGGAAATTTATGGCACTAAATGCCCACAAAAGAAAGCAGGAAAGATCCAAAATTGACACCCTAACATCACAATTAAAAGAACTAGGAAAGCAAGAGCAAACACATTCAAAAGCTAGCAGAAGGCAAGAAATAACTAAGATCAGAGCAGAACTGAAGGAAATAGAGACACAAAAAAACCCTTCAAAAAATCAGTGAATCCAGGAGCTGGTTTTTTTGGAAAGATCAACAAAATTGATAGACTGCTAGCAAGACTAATAAAGAAGAAAAGAGAGAAAAATCAAATAGATGCAATAAGAAATGACAAAGGGGATATCACCAGTGATTCCATAGAAATACAAACTACCATCAGAGAATACTATAAACACCTCTACTCAAATAAACTAGAAAATCTAGAAGAAATGCATGAATTCCTCAATACATACACTCTCCCAAGACTAAACTAGGAAGAAGTTGAATATCTGAATAGACCAATAACAGGATCTGAAATTGAGGCAATAATTCATAGCTTACCAACCAAAAATGTCCAGGACCAGATGGATTCACAGCCGAATTCTACCAGAGGTACAAGGAGGAGCTGGTACCATTCCTTCTGAAACTATTCCAGTCAATAGAAAAAGAGGGAATCCTCCCTAACTCATTTTGTGAGGCCAGCATCATCCTGATACCAAAGCCTGGCAGAGACACAACAAAAAAAGAGAATTTTAGACCAATATCCTTGATGAAAAATGATGCAAAAATCCTCAATAAAATACTGGCAAACCAAATCCAGCAGCACATCAAAAAGCTTATCCACCATGATTGAGTGGGTTTCATCCCTGGGATGCAAGGCTGGTTCAACATATGAAAATCAATAAATGTAATCCAGCATATAAACAGAACCAAAGACAAAAACCACATGATTATCTCAATAGATGCAGAAAATGCCTTCAACAACCTTCATGCTAAAAACTCTCAATAAATTAGGTATTGATGGGACGTATCTCAAAATAATAAGAGCTATCGATGAAAAACCCACAGCCAATATCATACTGAATGGACAAAAACTTGAAGCATTCCCTTTGAAAACTGGCACAAGATGGGGATGCCCTCTCTCACCACTCCTATTCAACATAGTGTTGGAAGTTCTGGCCAGGGCAATCAGGCAGGAGAAGGAAATAAAGGGCATTCAATTAGGAAAAGAGAAAGTCAAATTGTCCCTGTTTGCAGATGACATGATTGTATATCTAGAAAACCCCATTGTCTCAGCCCAAAATCTCCTTAAGCTGATAAGCAACTTCAGCAAAGTCTCAGGATACAAAATCAATGTGCAAAAATCACAAGCATTCTTATACACCAATAACAGACAAACAGAGAGCCAAATCATGAGTGAAATCCCATTCACAATTGCTTCAAAGAGAATAAAATACTTAGGAATCCAACTTACAAGGGATGTGAAAGACCTCTTCAAGGAGAACTACAAACCACTGCTCAATGAAATAAAAGAGGATACAAAGAAATGGAAGAACATTCCATGCTCATGGGTAGGAAGAATCAATATCATGAAAATGGCCATACTGCCCAAGGTAATTTATAGATTCAATGCCATCCCCATCAAGCTACCAATGACTTTCTTCACAGAATTGGAAAAAACTACTTTAAAGTTCATATGGAACCAAAAAAGAGCCTGCATAGCCAAGTCAATCCTAAGCCAAAAGAACAAAGTTGGAGGCATCAAGCTACTTGACTTCAAACTATACTACAAGGCTACAGTAAACAAAACAGCATGGTACTGATACCAAAACAGAGATATAGACCAATGGAACAGAATAGAGCCCTCAGAAATAATGCCGCATATCTACAACTATCTGATCTTTGACAAACCTGACAAAAACAAGCAATGGGGAAAGGATTCCCTGTTTAATAAATGGTGCTGGGAAAACTGGCTAGCCATATGTAGAAAGCTGAAACTGGATCCTTTCCTTACACCTTATACAAAAATTAATTCAAGATGGATTAAAGACTTAAACATTAGACCTCAAACTATAAAAACCCCAGAAGAAAAGCTAGGCTATACCATTGAGGACACAGGCACAGGCAAGGACTTCATGTCTAAAACACCAAAAGCAATGGCAACAAAAGCCAAAATTGACAAATGGGATCTCATTAAACTAAAAAGCTTCTGCACAGCAAAAGAAACTACCATCAGAGTGAACAGGCAGCCTACAGAATGGGAGAAAATTTTTGCTACCGACTCATCTGACAAAGGGCTAATATCCAGAATCTACAATGAACTCAAACAAATTTACAAGAAAACAACAAACAACCCCATCAAAAAGTGGGCGAAGGATATGAACAGACACTTCTCAAAAGAAGACATTGATGCAGCCAAAAGACACATGAAAAAATGCTCATCATCACTGGCCATCAGAGGAATGCAAATCAAAACCACAGTGAGATACCATCGCACACCAGTTAGAATGACAATCATTAAAAAGTCAGGAAACAACAGGTGCTGGAGAGGATGTGGAGAAATAGGAACACTTTTACACTGTTGGTGGGACTGTAAACTAGTTCAACCATTTTGGAAGTCAGTGTGGTGATTCCTCAGGGTTCTAGAACTAGAAATACCATTTGACCCAGCCATCCCACTACTGCGTATATACCCAAAGGATTATGAATCATGCTGCTATAAAGACACATGCACACATATGATTATTGCTGCACTATTCGCAATAGCAAAGACTTGGAACCAACCTAAATGTCCAACAATGATAGACTGGATTAAGAAAATGTGGCACATATACACTATGGAATACTATACAGCCATAAAAAATGATGAGTTCATGTCCTTTGTAGGGACATGGATGAAGCTGGAAACCATCATTCTCAGCAAACTATTGCAAGGACAAAAAACCAAACACCGCATGTTCTCACTCATAGGTGTGAATTGAACAATGAGAACATATGGACACAGGAAGGGGAACATCACACACTGGGGACTGTTGTGGGGTGGGTGGAGGGGGAGGGATAGCATTAGGAGATATACCTAATGCTAAATGACGAGTTAATGGGTGCAGCACACCAACATGGCACATGTATACATATGTAACAAACCTGCACATTGTGCACATGTACCCTAAAACTTAAAGTATAATAATAAAAAAAATGTGATTGTCTACAATGTCTAATACATATTTTACGTCCAAATAGACCTTGAGCATTACTAGTTGCCTTATTAAGGACTAATTTGTTGAAGGACAGACAGCAAGACAGAATCATTATTTCTAGCAGATGCGTCATATCCGGAGTGCTTTTTATCGCACAAAAGTTACTGACAATGGGGAATATAACTCATAACCATATTAAATTCCATTTAATCCCAATCATCAATATATTCTGTATCATGAAAAGGGTGATAAATAAAAAATAGAAAGATGGCCTGGACATAAAATCCAGACAGAGATTATTTCATGTATATTGACAATTGGAAAGAAGAATAAATTAAAATAGAATATCGCAAAACAATAGAAGAGATTATAAAGAAGGTAATAATCATTCATTACTGCATAAGTAAGTATATTTGTGGTTGCAACAGCAGAAAAACAAGTCACACTTGCTCAAAAAAAAAAAAAAGACAGTAGAGAGAAATGTTAAACTTAACATTCTGAATGACCAAATTTTAATCATAACATCTACTCCATGAATTCAGATATATATTACAAGTCTTATAAAACACTCTAGGCCTTATTTTTCTTATGTGTTATATAAAGATAGCAATAATATCTGCATCTCAAAGTTGTTTTAAGCATTAAAAATTACTATATCAGATAAAGTACTTAGTGTATTGACTGACTCAGTGAAGAAACTCAATAAAAAAATAGCTGTTAATAGATGATTGTTAAAAGGAGTTTTAGATGAGTATAACTGGCTTTGGGAGTCATTGAATTCTGGGTGCTAGACATATCATGAGAAGCAGATTGGCCCCCATCTCTTGACTTAGCTTTGCCCCTCTCCATGTGCTGGGTTTGTTCTTCATGTGCCTATGCAGGACAGGTTGACTGCAGCTTCACAAGTGCTGAGGTTCAAAACCAAATTTGCCCTTGATGCTCCCCCGACTCACCCAAAAAATAAAAAAAAAATAGCTCTAAGTAAGTCTGGTTGATATGGTCTGAGTCACATGGGCAGCAATGAATTAACTTTGACCAAGGATGTAAGTCTATCAACTTGTTTAGAACTAGATTACATGCCCCTTTCCTATTTGTAGAGGTGATGTCCCACCCAAACTGTATACCCTAAGGTTGAATGGGGTTTTAATCCTCAAAAGAAAACTGTGATCCCTTTTCAGAAGTATGGCAAATAGGTGCTAGAGACCAAAGCAATAAAGCAAGCATGCCAGCAGACAAAATGCAAAGAATAAGAATTATTTGATATAAATATTGTTAAAATAGTTTAGCTTTGGTGTAACCTAAAAGAAAACCAAACAATGACTTAATGTGTGAGCTTAAGTAAACCACCTAAACTTTCGAAATCTCAGTCCCTCATTAGCAAGAAAAAAAGCAATGACTTATTCTCATGGTTATTGCATCATAGCAGAAATGATCATCTATAAAATGCTTAGCTTAATTTGAAAAAGAGTATTATATGGCAGGTAAATGTCATATTAAAATTTAATAGTTACAAAAGATAATGAAATAGATATTTAAAGAAACTTCAAAATTTAATAATTAGGAACTGGTTAAATAAATTATTTTATTTATATAATATAAAAGGAGACCGTAATTAAAATGGTTTGGAAATGAATAAATTTATAGACATAATTGTTATATAGTTAAAGGAAAATATAAAATATATAGTGTGATTAGTGTAATTTTTTGAAAACCTAAAATAATTGTAAATATTTAAAGGAAGATAAATATGAAAAAAAGATATTTTTAAAGTCTGTAAGGGCAACCTCAAGCAAAAAAGAGCCCTTTGGAAGCAACTGGAAAGAAGCAAGTTGGTTCTTTCTCTTCCAGTCTTCTCATTTTTTTCAATCATCCCCATAGGCAGAGATTAATGTAGAACTGGTTGGCAAAGCAGAAATATGGTTTATACATTCTAATAAGCAACCCCACAAATAAATTTTTAGGAAGATAATATGTAGCTGAAACACAACTTAATAACTGGCACAGGTAACTAAACTAACATTAACTTGTTAACGATGAAACCAAAGTAGAAACAATGGAAGCTAGAATACAAAGAAATGGTATATCTTAAAGTGCTAGAAAAAAATAACCATTGAACCGGAATTTTATCACTGCTAGTATCCATTGAGAAATAAAGCGAAATAATCTGTGGACACACAGAGAGTGTTAGAAAATATTACAAGATTGCCAATACTAAGAACAAAGATGGGGGTGAGTGCTCATTAGGCAAATGAAAAATTATTCCAGATGGAAGATGAGAAATTAAGGAATGAATGCAGAACAATATACATATAAATATGTGGGTCTAAGAAAAATTAATAATGACTAAAAACAGTGATGATGATGTACTGATGGTTTTAAACATATTTATACTTGGAAAACATGGCAACCCTAATAGTTGATAATATCAAATACTAGAAGACAATCAGGAAATGTGTATTCATATGCACTGCTGTATGGTAGTGGAAAATAGTTCAACTATTTTATAGAGCAGTTTTAATCATATATTATTTTAACATTGAAAAATTTAACTTGACATTTTCACTTCTGGGTATTTAATGTTGGGGACTATGAGTAGATGTACACAAAAAAGAATGGGAATATATATGAGGAATTCAAATAAAATATTTCTGTATAATAGACAAAAATAGAATAATACAACAGGTAAGATTTTTTTTCAATTTATTTAGCAGTAACTAAATAAAAATAAGACAGAAAACTGATATTTATTTTATTGTAAATATCTAAATTGAGAATCAACATTGGGAAACTGTGAATTTCCCCTACAAGGTCCTTCAGGAACAGAGATTTATTCCCTATGTTTCTCTGCCCTTCCCTGAGATATCTCCTCACCCTAAGTCCTAAGCTTCACCAACACCACAACTGTGTTCCTGCCTACAAGTAAAGTCTGAGTGTGTGTGTTCGGGGTGTTTTGGGGAGAGAATCAAGAAGGGCAAGTAGCTTCCTTTTAAAGATATCACCTGGAAATTGAACCTAATACTTTTACTTATATCCTTTCATGTATAACTGAATCACCTGGACACTCTTAGCTAAAAAATAATATTGAAAAGTTTACACAAACATTTAAGGTTGAACATAACTCCAAGTACTTCATTCTGAGTTGCCTCTTGGATGTATCCTTGCAAATTGATGGCAGTAGTTGGGAAAGGAGTGGTTGAAATTTTGAACAGAACAATAGAAACCAAGAGTAATTCTGATTTAGGATTTTTTTCTGTGAAAAACTCAAAACACTCTGAACAATTTAAGATTACACATTCAATTTGTAATTCAATTACACATTCTGTTTGAGAATCTTCTTGGGCTAAACCTGAAACATCAGTCTCAATTTATAATCATATTTTTCTCATGATAAAGTTTTCAAATTATGATATCTGTGAGATTTGATATAAATAGTTATGTTACTCATATAGAAATCTCTTCCCCACTTACACACATACAAAAATTTATCTATGAGTGGCTTATAATTGCAAATAAGATGTAAATCATGCTCATGATCATTGTCAAAATTGTGAAAGATTTTTTTCTATACCTCTTTTAGGTTTGTTTTTTTTTGTTTTTGATTTCCAGGTGCATTAAAGACAAGAGGGAATAATATTCATTCTTACTTCTACTCCCAAGTCACTAGTTTGCTGAATTTAATTGAGTTAAAGAATTGTATCAGTCTTCTTGGAAGTCTAATACAAAACCAGTTCAACACTAGTTATTCATTCTTTGCTAATTCACCAGAATTGAAGGATGGATAAAATGAGAAAGAGAAGTAGTTCTTCATATTATTAAAATAAAGAGTTAAATTAGACACTTTGTTGGACTCTTTGGTCTTAATAATTCCTACTCTTTTTGAGGTCCAAAAGTTTTGTCTTTGATAAATATAATTTTAATGGTATCTCTAGTGAGAAACTATGTAACTTCTTCATGTATCAAACTGTGAATAGTGATAGGTCTGTGAATATAAAGCACAGTGGCAGAATTCCTGCTGAGATATGGACATTGTTACTTGGGTAAACCATTCTACTATGAAACAAGGGCAGCAAACATGTTAGAATCTCTTCAAGGCTTATTTTTGGGCATATGGGTTGTATAATCATATAAGTCCTATAGTTTTTAAATTATACTGTTTGATAGAAAGTAATAAATGAATTTATTTTCTGATAATTTAGCATTTCTGTTAAAAGCAAGAGATGATTAATCTCCAGAATTTAGAAAAATACATCTGATATCATCTGGATGTTTGTCCCCTCCAAATATCGTGTTGAAATGTGAATCCCAGGGAGGGGTGGAGCAAGACAACTAGAGACTAGCCTCTGCCAATCATTCCACCCTCTCCCCCTCAACCCGCCCACCGACAGGAACAAAAAAACTTTGAATAAATAACCTAGTGTTGCATCTTAAAGAACTAAAAAATCAAGAGCAAACCAAACCCTAAATTAGTAGAAGAAAATACACAATAAAGATCAGAGCAAAAATAAATGTAATTGAAACAGAACAATACAACAGATCACGAAACAAAAAGGTTTTTTTGAAAAGATAAACAAAAACAAACCTTTAGCCCAACTGAGAAAAAAACAAGAGAAGACCCAAATAAATAAATTTAGATATGAAAAAGAGTCATTACAATTAACATCATAGAAATTCAAAGGATCATTAGCGGCTACCGTGAGCAACCATAAGCCAATAAAATGGAAAATCTGTAAGAAATAGATGATAAATTGCTAGACACATATAACCTATCAATATTGAATCATAAAGAAATCCAAAACCTGAACAGACTAATAATAACTAACAAGATGGAAGGTGTAGTCAAAATTCTCCCTGTTAAAAAAAATGCCGAGAACCCATTGGCTTCACTGCTGAATTCTAACAAACATTTAAAGCAGTAATGCCAATACTATTCAAATTATTCCAAAATATAGAGGAGAAGGGAATATATTTCTACACTCATGTTAATAGGCCAGTATTACCATGATCCCCAAATCAGACAAAAACACATAAAAATAAAAAAACTACAGGCCAATATTTCTGATGAACATTCATATGACAATTGTAACAATTCTCAACAAATTGCTAGAAAACTGAATTCACAACACATTAAGAAATTCATTCATTATGACCAAGTAGGATTTATTCCAAGGATGTAAGGATGGTTCAGCATACACAAATCAATAAACATGAGACATCATATCAACGGAATTAAGAAGAAAATGATATACTCATTTCCATTGATGCTGAAAAACATTTGATAAAGTTTAACATTATTTCATGATAAGAACTCTCAAAAAACTGGGTATACAAACAACATACTTAAACCCAATAAAAATCATATATGACAAACCCATAGGTAGCATCATACCGAATGGGTAAAAATTAAAATTATTTTTGCTTAAATCTAGAAAATGACAAGATGTCCACTTTCACCACTGTTATTTCACATGCTACTGGAAGTCCTCACTAGAGCTATTAGACAAGAGAAAGTAACCAAGGACACCCAAATTGGAAAGGAAGAAGTCAAATTATCCTTATTTGCAGATGGAAAAACCTAAAGACTCCACCCAGAAAACCATTAGAACTGATAAATTCAGTAAAGTTGCACCATACTAAATCAACATACAAAAACTAGTAACATTTCTGTATGACAACAATGAACAATCTGAAAAAAATCAAGGAAGTAATCTTATTTACAGTAGCTACAAATAAAGTAAAATATCTGAGAATTAACTCAACCAAAGAACTGAAAGATATCTACAATGAAAACTGCAAAACACTGATGAAAGAAATTGAAGAGACCCCTGAAATGGAAAGCTATTTCATGTTCATGGATTGGAAGCATCAATATTTTTAAAATGTCTATCCAAAGCAGTCTACAGATTCAATGCAATCCTTAAAAAAATACCAATAACATTCTTCACAGAAATAGAAAAAGCCATCCTAAAATGTATATGGAACCACAAAAGACCCAGAGTAGCTAAAGCTATCTTGATCAAAAATAACAAAACTGGAGGAATCACATTACCTGACTTCAAATAATAATACAGAGCTATAGTTAGCAAAACAACAAGTTACTGGCCTAAAAACAGACACATACATCAGTGAAACAGAATTAAGACCCAGAAAGAAATCCACACACCTACAGTGAGCTCATTCTTGACAAAGATGCCAAGAACATAAATTGGGGAAAAGACAGTTTCTTCAATAAATGGTGCTGGGAAAACTGGATATCTATATTGAGAAAAATGAAACTAGACCCCTTTCTCTTGCCATATACCAAAATCAAATCATAATGATTTAAAGATTTAAATTTAAAAACTCAAACTGTTTAACTACTATAAGAAAATATTGGGGGAATTCTCCAAGACATTGGAGTGGCCAAATATTTCTTGAGCAATACCCTACAAGCACAAGCAACCAAAGCAAAAATGGACAAATAAAATTACATCAAGTTAAAATGCTTCTACACGGCCAAGGAAACAATTAATAAAGTCAAGAGACAACCCACAGAATGAGAGGAGATATTTGTAAACTCCCCATCTGAAAAGGGATTAATAACAAAAGTATATGAGGAGCTCAAACAACTCTATAGGAAAAAGAAAATCTAATGATCCAATTAAAACATGGTCAAAAGCTCTGAATAGATATTTCTCAGAAAAAGACATAAAAATGGAAAATAGACATATAAGAAGCTGCTTGACATCATTGCTCATCAAAAAATGCAATTCAAAACTACAATGAGGTATCATATCAACTCAGTTATAATGGCCCTTATTAAAAAAATAGGCAATAACAAATGCTGGAGGCCAGGTAGAGAAAAAGGAATCCTCACACACTGTTGGTGGGAATGTAAATTAGTACAGCCACTTTGAAGAACAGTTTGAAGGTTCCCCAAAAAACTAAAACTGCAGCTACCATACAATGCAGCAATCCATTTCTCGGTATTAATTTATACCCACAAGAAGACAACCAGTATAATGAAGACGTTTTTGCACTCCCATGTTCATTACAGTACTATTCACGATGGCCAAGATTTGAGGCACTCTGTGTCTATCAAGAGACAAATGGGTAAAGAACACGTGGTATACATATATAATGGAGTACTATTCAGTTATAAAAAAGAATGCATTCCTGTCATTTGCAGTATGGATAAAACTGGTGGTCATTATGTTAAATGAAATAAGCCAGGCACAGAAAAGTAAACTACATAAGTTAGCTTTGTGAAAGCTAAAAATTAAAACATTTGAACTCATGGAGATACAGAGTTGAAGCATGTTTATGGGAGACTGGGAAAAGTAGTGGGGTGTGTGGAGAGGAAGTAGGGGTGGTTAATGGGTTCAGTACAATAGTAAGAAAGAATGAACAAGACCTAGAATTTCATAGCAAAAGAGTAACTATAGTCAATAATTATTTAATTGTACATTTAAAAGTAATTAAAAGAGTATAATTGCATTGTTTGCAACACTAAGGATAAGTACTTGAGGTAATGGATAACTCCTTTATCCTGATTTGATTATTACACATTATATGCCTGTATTAAAACAGGTACCCCATTCATATATACACCTACTGCGTACTCACAAAAATTAAAAATACAGAAATGTGATTGCCAGTGTTGGAGGTGGGACGTGGTAGGTGGTGACTAGATTGTGGGGGCTCGTTTCTCAGGAATAGCTTAGCACCATCCCCTTGGTGATAAGTGAGTTCTCGCTGTGAGTTCAAGCAAGACCTGGTTGTTTAAAAGAGTGTGGCACTTCCTCCCTCTCTCACTCTTGATCTAGTTCTCACCTTGTGACATGCTAGCTCCCCTTCACCTTCTGCCATGATTGTAAGCTTCCTTAGGTCCTCACCAGAAGCAGATGCTAGCACTCTTTTACATAAACAGCCAGCAGAAGCATGAGCCAATTAATGGCATCCTTTCAAAATAAATTACCTAGTCTGAAGTATTTCTTTATAACAATAGAAGAATGGACTAACACAACATCTTACCATCTTCCAATCATCTTCCAAAAAAAAAAATATATATATATATACACACACACCCAGGAACCATTTTTTAAAACCAGAATAGACAACCTTGATGTGTTTGAAATTTAAAACACTTTAGAAAAAAAAGATAGCCCTTAATATCAGACAGAAAATAAACATGTAATATAATGTAATTACATAATTTTTAATAATTAGAAAATTTACTTTGAAATTAGAACAAATATGTTACAAATATTTGGAAAATTTAAATGTAAAAGAAATATAAAGAATAAGGTAATATAATACAATGTAAATAAATGATGCATATGTATTTTAAAATCTACTATTTAAAAAAGAAGTCTTGTATACAAGAGCAATAGAGGAAAACATAAAGTGAAAATGTAAGAACAGGTATTCGATAGCACAATGGAGTGACTATAGTTAACAATAAATTATTGTATATTTTAAAATAAATAAAAGAGTGGAATTAGTGTTTACCTAATGAAAATCTGTGGTAAATACTGAAGATGATAGATATCTCAATTACCCTGATTGGATCTTTACATATTATATACCTGTACCAAACATCACATGTACTCCAGAATATATGCAACCATTAACTATACATAATAATTACAGAAAAGTAAAATGTAGAGAATTATATTGCAAAAGTTTACAATTTTAGAATATCAACAATACCTTTTAATGTTAAAAGGTATACAGTAATTCTGAAAAATTATTTGAAATAGATGACTACTTAATATAATTAATACTCAAAGTGTTTTTAGAAATCATTAAGAAAAAGAAGAGGCCCATTCTCAGTTAAGACTGGGAAAAGGGAATGAACAGGAAATTTAGGCAGAAGTAATGTCTAATAAGCATAAGTATTTTAAAGTAGCTACTATTTAAATAAAAATGTTACAGGTATAATTATGGGTAACTATTTGATAACATGACAACTATAATATGCAATGTATTTCAAAGTTCAGTGACATGGACTGTCATATGTACTCCTGATGTATGTTTAAATTACACAAGTCTTTTGTGAAACATTTGTAAGCATGTTTAAAAGAAAATGTACTTCTCCCTTTTGATCCATTAATTTCATATAAAGGAATGCTATTAATTTATTTAAATTTTTAAAATGTATTAACTTATCCAAGGAAAACAATAAGCAATATGATTAAAATGTTAGATACGAAGGTCATCTGTAATACCATGTGATCATAGAATTTGGATTAAATATTCATCATAGGGGATCGTTTATATGATTCACGATATTTTATTTATTGAGAATAAAGTTTTCAAATAATATTTGGTGTCAAAGGAAAATTTCTATATCACTGTAGGAAAAAATTGATAGAAAGGCATCAATATATACAGAGGCATTATCTCTGAATGGTGATGATACACATACCTCTTTTTAAATGTTTTATTTTTTATACCAACTTATACTATACAAAACAAAGGGGTTACTATTGCTACCCTCAGAAACCTCGATAATTTACATTTCATTCATGGCTTACAAGGGAGAGCAAAATATATCATGAAACGTTCTGGGTATATGATTTTATAGTGTTGCCAAGTATATATTTAAGAATATATTTTATATTGTATGATCTATTTACACTTAAACAAATTGTATGTTTAACAGCAGTTTTCTTTTGCATCTTTTAAAATGTCATTCAGAAATGGTTGCCACCAAAGAATCACTGCTAAATAAGTTTTATAAATTGCCACACTAACAAAAATAATGACATTGAATATGGAAAGTGATTATAACTATAAAGCCTAGTTGTCTAAACTGTGGCTTTTATTACCTTGAGCATTTATTTTCATACTGCATTGCTCGTCAGAGTTCTCTTTCAGAAATGTTTTCATACAGTAAACTTTATATTCTATTTTAAGGAAGAAAGATATTTAAAGATTTTTAATGCTATAAATCTGTTAAAATATCTAAGCCAAAATACAAAAGGTAAATGCTATTTGGAGAATACCAAGTTGCTAGAAATGATGTTCAATACAATATAGAAAATAGTAATATTCTATACAGGCTGAGCACTCTGTCTCACGCCTGTAATCCTAGCACTTTGTGAGGCCGTGGCAGACAGATCACTTGAGGTCAGGAGTTCAAGAGCAGCCTGAACAACATAGTGAAACCCCATCTCTACTAAAAAAAAAAAAAATTAGCTGAGCATGGTGGCGCACGCCTGTAATCCTAGCTACTCGGGAGGCTGAGGCAGGAGAATCGCTTGAACCGGGGAGACAAAGGTTGCAGTAAGCCGAGATCATGCCACTGCACTCCAGTCTGGGCGACAGAGAGAGACTCTGCCTTAATCAATCAATCAATATATCAAAGCTATCCAAACTACAATTTTAGATATCCAAGAAGCCTTCTAAATCTGCTATAGTTAGTAATAATTTTAATAACATCATCAGAAAAAAGTAATTGACATTTTAAACAATAAGTCAATGAAAATGACTTTTAAAATCTCAAGCAAAAATGTCTAGATACATTTCTAGATTCTTAAAGTTTTCAAGTAACAGAAATATTGAATATTTGTATAATGTGTGCTTTCTAAAAAAACCCACTTGCTAATATTTTTAAATCATATCCTATAATCATACATCAACTGTCAACAGTAACATTAGGAAGTTATTTTTTTCAACCACTAAATTGGGAAAGGAAGGAACTTGCTTTTCTTTTACCATGAATAAAAGAGCTCCCTCTGTCAGGAAAACGAATTAGGCACCCAGTGTCTGCCTGATTACTTGGCTCAAGCACGACTCTGCTTCCTCACAGGGACCTCCAGAGACTGAGTTGTTTTCTCCTAACTTGTGGCTTAATCTTTCATTAAAGTGTTAAGAATGAGATACACGGAGTCAAACCACAAAATAATTCACTGCATTGTTCCCACCCGTCATTTGGCAATGGACACCGTGTATGTATTATTAATAAGTGCTTTAAAAATCTACCCTAAAGCAATCATCATAAATTAATCTACATTTTCTTCATTCTATTATGTTTTGATCTGTATGTGCTTCTTGGGGATAAAATTTTCAGTCAAATATTTCCCATACATTTCTGTCAGACAATGCTTTGAAATAAATCCCATTAAGCAACCAAGAAACATTTTAGCTCCGATCATATATCTAATATCTGAGTCAGATTAATCAACCTTTTGAATGACAATCAATTCTTCATTTATAGATTGAGAGGATTTAGACATATAATACATGTCAAGTGCCCAGCACAGTGCCACTCAGCAAATTTAGTTTCATTTGTACTTTCCTATAATTTCCTCAAAATCAGTCCTCATACTTTAGGGTCTGCTTTCCACTTTAGTGTTGTGGAATTTCAATGTTCAATTTCTATTCAGCCATATTCACTTGTTCATGATTTATAAGGTTCAGACATTAGCCATCATCACCTTCTGCCAGAAGTTCAATAATATGTTTTCATTGGCCTCTCTATCTCTGTTTTTACTCCCTTGAAATCCCAATCCTATCCTCACTATGTTGGTTTCAGTTCTTTGGAAAAACAGCAACAACAAAACATCAAAAAATGTAAATCAATTCTCACATTTTTCTGCTGAACTCCAGTGGTTTACCACATATGGCTGAAAAACTTCAAACTCCGTATTTTCATTCCTGGCTCTACTTGTCCAACTTTTACTGATTTTCATTTCGGCTCTAGCCTTCCTGACCCACTTGCCTTTCTCCTCTCCACAACTTCTGCAGAGATGAATTCCCATTACCACCAAATAACAACTTTCTTTCCAGCTACAACCTATACCAGATGGCAGAAAATGTGAAAGACAGTTTTTTACAACATCTGCAAGATTTTCTTAATAGACAACCAAATATGGAACTATATACATACAAAGTAATATAACACAGGAATTTATTATATAAAGACATTGAAAGAGTAAGCAAGCAGACAGGCAACAGAGAGATATAAAAGTTAGAAGAAATGATTGTTTTTCCAAGGAAGAAAGAAGTAAATAAATAAAAAATTAGAGTGTAATGACAGAACAATTCACTTGAGATAAATATTTCTTTTCACTTTTAAGATTAAACTTATGTGATATACTATGAGTCTGAATATCTTGAATTCCAAATGTCAACATGGAATGCCAAAAATAGGGAAAAATTATTTGAAGAAAAGTGAAATTTTTTTTCAGACTTGGGCTGCCCAGGTCATCTTAATTACTTTATATATTTCATTCATGTAATGCCAACTACACATGTTTATATGATTACCTATTTAACAAACTTCCTTAGAATTTTGTTTCATATTTTATGTATTTCCCAGTCTTCCAAGGGGAAAAAAAGAGGGAAAATATTTCAGGAAACTGTCTTTGAGGGAATTTGTAAAATATTTTCTGTATTACAGTGTGACTTGAAGATAGAAAAAGGATACTATAGAAATCTCAGAGGATCATCTTGTCACAATGATGCATTTGACAAGTATTTAATTAGTCTTACATATTTTAAAGGTGAGAATGTTTTTATAACTCAATTCCCATGATTAGAAAACATCTACTTAAATAAATCACATAGTAAATGTTAGTGCCTTTCTTCATTTTGAGTTAGCGAAAATCCCAGAAATTTTCCTGTGTGTACCAAATTAAGACATGTTTCTATGTGTGCCTTCAAACTCATACACTATTACAATTTTATTTTTGCTTATCTGGTTTTTGTTTTGTTTTGTTTCTTTTCTTTTTGCGAAAAGTCTAAGTAACTGGAGTTACCTAACTTTTATTTTCCCTTTTCATTTCAGAAAGTAGCAAATATCTGGCATATGATTGTTATTGTTCATGTTGTAGAAAGAGTGTATTGTCCTTGATCATATAATCCTGTATTTTTTTTCCAAAAGGGCTCTAATTTTAAATGTTGAAAGCAATAAGCCTCTTTATTTACTTATTTATTTACAAAGTAAACCCAAGGAATTTGTCTTATTTTTAAGAATAAAAAATAATTTCATTTGTAAAATTTTCCCCAAAGTGTTTCTTACATAGAATTCTATCATGTTCCAGTGTAAACCACACTTGAATCAATTTCCATAAGAAAGCATTATATGAGTTTACAAGTATCAGGGACATCTCAACCAAAGGGTAATGATAGACGGAAGTGCACAAAATGACACTAATGTGTGCAGCCAAATGGTACAGGATTAGGTGTTACACCTAGTTTTTTAACATTCTCACTAACAAACACTTAGCTGTGGTAAACAACAAATTAATTTACAGTGAACATGACTTTGGAAAATTTTGTGGGTATTTTTATAGTGAGAAAAACTGTTTAGTTTCTCAAAATATTTTAAAATCAAATTTACATAATATGTTTTATGCACTTATTAAAATAAAAATTAAAGTATATACAGTACAGATTCTTGGATATTTCCTTTAAAATATATAAAGAAGCTGCATTTGTCTAAGATTTTATAAATGCATCGAAGAAGTAAAGTATCTCATAACAAGAAGCTTATCTGCCATTCTGCAAGAATAATTTCATGAAGCCTTGAAAACTGTATACGCTAATGAGTGGATAATGCAATAACCTTGAGGCCTTCTGCACTCAGATTGCCCTATCATAAAAATGTGAGCAAACTTGAGTAACATAAAAACAAATATTCACAAATTTATTTTAATGGAGCCCACACAAAAATGTGTAAGGCAGAAACAAGGTTAAAGTATATAAAATGATAATGCTATTAAATTTAATAATCAATGAGAAAAGTGGTAGAGAATCATATTTGCTCTTTGACATGTCTTGATTACTATTGTGGAAGAGTCCCAAGACTAGGAATCCACTGTAAACCCAGGATACAGAGGTGGCTATGGAAGGTTGCCTGCTCCAACTGATTAATGTGCCTCTGGTATATGAGGCAAATGCTGCTCCTTGAATTGGCACACAACTCCTCTACCTAACTTCACAGGAAGGTTCAATCAGTCTCATTGTTCTACTCTAGCTGTATAGGATATAATCTCAAACGATAAGAAATTGCAGCTATCCTTGTACTAAGCAAATCAAGACCTGTCTTTTTAATCTGCAGGTGAAATTTGATACGTCCTTTGAAAACTAAGTATGTTATTGGTAATTGATTACGGATTTGAAGCTTTTATTCCTAGATTTCTTAAAGGGCCAGATATGTATCTAGCTATTGGAATTGACACTTGTTTACACTGAATTTCTGAGTCATAAGCAACAAAGGATAAATAGAGGAAAGAGTAATAGTTTGAAAAATGAGAAAATAACAAAGAAAGTTTATGGTAGAATTTATTTCTAAACTACCATGGACATACTGTCCCTGTTTCTGGTTAATTTAAAAATGAGTAAAATTATTCTTCTGAAAAGCAATTTCTTATAAATTGGGTATGTGAATATAATGCATGAAGAAAGTAGAGCAGAGAGATGAAATATGTAGGCTCTTTAAGACTACAGTTTAGGGCCAAATCTCGAGCCATAAGTTGTTAGCCATGTGATGTTTGGTAGAATCAATATACTGTCTGTGCTTCAGTGTTCTCATGTGAAAAATCGCATTGCAATACTATATTCCAAAAATGTTTGAAAATATTAAATCAAATGATATATGAACAGTGATTAGAATAGTGTTGGTGATTATGAACACTTTAAGATTAAGTGTACATACTTTCAAATTGTTGTTCTTTTGCTTTCTTTTTATAATATCTTTATTAAACATATTTTTAGATGAACATTATAATGCCATTCTATGATATAATATAGAAATACCATATTGATTTTAGGGGTTTTATAATGCTGTAATTTTAATTTTAAATCTGCACTCTTCTGCACATTTTACTGGAAACTTAGCTGACTTACACTTTAGTGCCTCAACAGTTATCATGAGGCTGAGCATCATCTGTCAGAAACAAACACATTGAAGATTCTGAACTCGTTGCTCAGAGGTTTTATTATAATATTAAGCACAGGATGTAAGAAATCTAAATGTAGCACATCCGGAAAATATTATCTTCTACAAATACAATAATTTGGATTTGTTCCTGTTCAGAAGACATGTTGAAAATGCTCAAGGATATTGTACAGTGATTTCTTTTTTTTAATTTATTTATTATACTTTAAGTTTTAGGGTACATGTGCACAACGTGCAGGTTAGTTACATATGTATACATGTGCCATGTTGGTGTGCTGCACCCATTAACTCGTCATTTAACATTAGGTATATCTCCTAATGCTATCCCTCCCCCTCCCCCCACCCCACCACAGGCCCTGGTGTGTGATGTTCCCCACCCTGTGTCCAATGTTCTCATTGTTCAATTCCCACCTATCAATGAGAACATGCGGTGTTTGGTTTTTCATCCTTGCGATAGTTTGCTGAGAATGATGGTTTCCAGCTTCATCCATGTCCCTAGAAAGGACATGAACTCATCATTTTTTATGGCTGCATAGTATTCCATGGTGCACATGTGCCACATTTTCTTAATCCAGTCTATTGTTGTTGGACATTTGGGTTGGTTCCAAGTCTTTGCTATTGCAAATAGTGCTGCAATAAACATATATGTGCATGTGTCTTTATAACAGCATGATTTATAATCCTTTGGGTATATACCCAGTAATGGGATGGCTGGGTCAAATGGTATTTCTAGTTCTAGATCCCTAAGGAATTGCTACACTGACTTCCACAATGGTTGAACTAGTTTACAGTCCCAGCAACAGTGTAAAAGTGTTCCTATTTCTCCACATCCTCTCCAGCACCTGTTGTTTCCTGACTTTTTAATGATTGCCATTCTAACTGGTGTGAGATGGTGTCTAATTGTGGTTTTGATTTGCAGTGATTTCTTTTTTTAAATTATACTTTAAGTTTTGGGATACATGTGCAGAACATGCAGGTTTGTTACATAGGTATACACGTGCCATAGTCATTTACTGCACTTGTTGGCCTGTCATCCACATTAGATATTTCTCCTAATGCTATCCCTCCCCTTGGCCCCCACCCCCCAAGAGGCCCCAGTGTGTGATGTTGCCCTCATTGTGTCCATGTGTTGTCATTGTCCAACTCCCACTTATGAGTAAGAGCAGGTGGTGTTTGGTTTTCTGTTCCTGTGTTAGTTTGCTGAGAATGATAGTTTCCAGCTTCATCCATGTCCCTGCAAAGGACATGGACTCATTCTTTTTTATGGCTGCATAGTATTCTATGTATACATGCCGCATTTTCTTTATCCATTCTATTATTGATGGGCATTAGGGTTGGTTCCAAGTCTTGCTATTGTGAATAGTGCTGCAATAAACATACGTGTGCATGTGTCTTTATAGTAGAATGACTTATAATCCATTTGACCCAACAATCCCATAACTGGGTGTATATATATATATATATACACACACACACACATATATATATACACATATATATATCTCCATATATATATATCTCCATACATATACTCCATATATATATATCTCCATATATATATCTCCATATATATATCTGCATATATATATCTCCATATATATATCTGCATATATATATCTCCATATATATATCTGCATATATATATCTCCATATATATCTCTCCATATATATATCTCTATATATATCTCTCCATATATATATATATCCATATATATCTCTCCATATATATATATCTCCATATATATATATCTCCATATATATATATCTCCATATATATATATCTCCATATATATATATCTCCATATATATATATCTCCATATATATATATCTCCATATATATATATCTCCATATATATATACACACATACACATATATATCCAAAGGATGGTATTTTTTTATACATTAATTTCTTACTAAATTGCATGGCTTTGCTGTGCCTCTACCTCTTTAGATTTTTCTGTTAGCTGAGAATATTTATCTTATGTTTTTCTCCAGCTGTAGCTGCTGTACACAACACACACATATGTATGTCTAATCATATAAACCAATTTGCCATTCCTCAAATGAGATTTCCTCTTTTATCTCTCATTCGGACCATTTCTTTTCAAGGTTTTTGTTTATTCATCTAAAACCTTAGCACTTGCCCTTCCTCAAGCCTCAACTTAATCAATACCCCTTTTTGATACTTTTTTTTTAACTACTTCAGGATTCAGAGGTTGATCCCATTTCCTCTGAAGTACTAACAAGAGGGCATTTATTTTTATATCTGAAGCCTACTGCTAAGTCATTTTCTGCTCTATCAGGAAGTTACTTTTATTATTAAAAAGTACTTATATTATAGAATTATCCCAGAGCAAGAAACAAAGAAAGAAAAATCATAAATGAGTTTAAAAGCAATGTAGAAAACCAGCTCTTCTGTTTGCAGAGTGTACTGGAGGGAAGATACACCTTCTAAACCATTTAATCACTGATAACCTACTTGAAACTTTTAAGATAATTTTGAATTGGTGAATAAAGCATAATCTGATAATAAATAAGCTTCTGTTAAAAGGTCATTTTTCCCAAACTTAAAAGAAGTAAGAATATAATAAAACATACAATTAATAGGAAAATAATTTGGAAAATATCAAAACAATACAGACAGGCACACAATAATGATGCTGTATTCAGCCATAACTGGATAGATATTTTCAAGAAGGACTAAACGTGTAAAACTTCTTAATAATGTCTATAGCTCATTTATAGTTTGTTGTAGATAGCTGTGTTTATTTAATTGCATCATAAAATATATAAAATTGTATAAAAGGTAAGTATTCTGTATAATATATGGTTTTTATTGTTCTCAACTAGACATAGGTTCAGTAGTATCTAGTCCTTCTATCTTATTAGATGTTAAAGAAAAACTCCACTTTGATAGTGAACTCCAAAACCAATTTGATTTCTTTAAAAATATATTACAGCCTATATTACAAAGATATATTGACATATATTACACCTAGTTCATCTTGTATGATGCAGGAGGAATTAGATTACATATAGTAGAGATTTTATTTATTTTCTGATCTCATTATTACAGCTTATAGTAAAACTCTTTTAGGAAACGAGAAAATCTGATTTCATACTTTTTTTTTTTTTTTTTTTTTTTTTTGAGACGGAGTCTTGTTCTCTGGCCCAGGCTAGAGTGCAGTGGCGCGATCTAGGCTCACTCCAAGCTCCACCTTCCAGGTTCACACCATTCTCCTGCCTTAGCCTCCCGAGTAGCTGGGACTACAGGCGCCCGCCACCACGCCTGGCTAATTTTTTGTATTTTTAGTAGAGACGGGTTTTCACTGAGTTAGCCAGGATGGTCTCAAATCTCCTGACCTCGTGATCCGCCCATCTCGGCCTCCCAAAGTGCTGTGATTACATCCGTGAGCCACCGCGCCCTGCCGATTTCATAATATTTTTGATTGTAGTTCCTACAGCCATATTTTGGGAGTGGTAATTTGAAGCCTTAATTATGAGCAAAATGTGAACACTTCTAATAAGATCATTTATTCACAATGTATCTGTAGATGATATCAACTCCATCACCTCATAAACATTTCCTAAAAAGTATGGATATACAGTGGGCGTTAAAAAAATAACTCTGCAATCCAGCTTCTTCAAAGACAATATCAAATCTGTGTTAATTATCAAATCTTTGTTGGGAAGAGGTAGATTTCTGTGGAGGATTGGCTGCATGTGTAGTCCATGCTATTCTCTACATAGCACAGTATGTAATTGGATTAAAGTGGATCATCAAATACCTTTATATATAGCAACATAATTTTCACTCTTTGTAAAGCTTTTATTCTACATATTACTTTATCTTTTTCCCATATATGTCTTTATGGAAACTTTTTTTTAAAAAAGGAGTCCAATATAATTTTTAGGTTATTTACTCAAAATGTATTATTTGATGTATACCTTCATATATTACATCAATTTGTCAGAAGCTGGCAGTCTATAGCACATGATGGCATAGGCACTTATTAAAATAAAATCTGTAGTACTTTGTGAACCAGTCCAGATGAAGAGCAAATGTGAGGCCACGCGGGGATTCCATAGTGGAAATTTGGTTCATAATTTATCACTAAAATAAGTAAGACATAATGAGAAAGAAATTTTTATTCTTTAACCTCCATAACACTGGCACATTTTGGTATGTGTTTCAACAGTCATGAGAAGTCAGCCTGAGGTAACAAGTTAGGCCATGTTAAAAATGAGTAGAGTGTTCATCTATTTTTTTCTCAATTAGTAGAATATTTCCATATTCCTCTAAGAAGAACCTATGTACTTTAAGTAGGGGCAATATATTTTAGATTACAGTTTCCTTATGGTTATTAATTGATTATGGGTGTGTGCATGAAACAAAAAGTCAATTGATCAGAAACACTGATGAGATATTATTTTATTTGAAGTCAAAGAGAGAGAAAGTCTCTCAATTCCTTGCCAGTGATGGAGATGTGAGCTTTTGTAGCTGTCAGTGGCCATTCTCCTGCCATGGGAGAATGTTCTGCAGCATAAGAGAATGAGCCAAGAAGAGAAACCGAGGCAAATGTGAAGAGAGAACACTCTGACAGCCTTTGAGAACTTGACTTTAATTGCCCCATAAACCCAGGTGACCCTCTATTTGTCTCATGTATTATATAAACCAGTACATTTTTCCCCTAGTCTTGTTTTAATTGAGATCCTATAATTTACGTAGAAAGAAGTCCTAATATCCTGAGAAGACCGTATGTATGTGTGTAATGATTACATGAATATACAAAGAGAAAAAGATGGTAGAGAGAATAGTGTAGCTGACTCATAGAGGGAAGCAAAAAGAAGCAGCAAATAGAGCCTGAAAGACAGAGAACACCCTTAGTTTCAAAATCGTCAGGTGTCAGAGCCACTTGGCAAAATGCCAACAATACTTTATTTATATAAAATGTCCACACCAAAATACAGTGTTTAAAAGAATTTAAAAGAATTTAGGCTTTGGACTAAAATAAATAAATAAACAAATAAATAAACAACAAATAAATAAATAAATAAAAGTGTGCACTTACTACATGTCTAAACTTGGAGCTTGGAAAATCATTTAACTTTCATTTTGCTCAGCTGTGAAGTGGGAATAATGAACATAATTTTCATAGTTGAATATGAGAATTTTTGCTAATGGAATCGAAAGCACTTAACCCTAGTGCCTAATGCTTAGTAAAGCTCGGTAAAATATAAGTGAAAAGTTATGCTTATTGCAATAAATAAGAAAAGTTAATTTGTTTTTATGTGCTAAAAACTCCTTGGATAAACAAAAAGTGGCTTGTCTAACAGAACTCCATTTCTTTTTTCAAGCCAAGTTAAAGTATTTAATGAATAGCTATATACTAGCATTTTTCTAAGTGCTGTAGAAATGTAAAACACATAAGTTGACATACAATTTTTAATTAATTCATTTATTTACCAATTCAACAAGCCAATTAACATTTATACAAATTTGTAGCAGCTCTATTTTATACTGAATTAACGAAGGTATACATTTTACTGGTAAATAAAAAAATATAAAAATTTTATTTTTCTTCAGTGACTTTGTTTAATGAGAAAATAGAAATAACACTGAATTAGTCGTGACTCAAAAATAATGTGCAGAACCAATAGAATAAATACATCCATATATAGAGATATTTATTTTAAGGGATTGGCACAGGTGACTGTCAGGGCTGGCGTGTCTGAAATCCATAGGGCAAGCTGGCAGGCTGGAAATTCAGGTAAGACTTGATGTTGCATCTTGCATGCAAAATTCACGAATAGGCTGTAAACTCAGGCAATTTTTTTTTCTTTTAATATTGCAGTTAGGAGGCTGAACTCTAAAGCATCAGTCTTTTCTCTTACTGCCTTTAAGGGAATGGATGAGGCTCCCTCGCATTACGGAGGGTAATCTGTTTTACTCAAGGCCTACTGACTTTAATGTTAATCATATCCAAAAAAATACCTTCACACCAACATCTAGATTAGTGTTTTACCAAGCAACTGAGCACTATGGTCTAGCCAAGTTGAGAAATACAATTCATCATAGAAAGCAATAAACAACCAATCAGTTGTTGAATACATTGTTTGGCAAAAACTATTGAGGTTGTGTTTCTATGGTCTGAAATAAAATCTCAATTATATAGATTTGATTGATATTACACAAAAATTTACCTTTATTTCCTTAGATTCAGTTTATTTCTACAGTGTTGAAAAAACTAGCACTTTCCAATTTATTAAAACTGACCTTTAGAAACAATGCTTTTAATATATAAGCCATATAAAATAAGGTATTATGTTTTATCCTATTATATTCAACTCAGCCTCCCTTGGATAGATTTCCTCATTTACACCATATACATATACATTTATTTTAACCATTTGATGATACTGATCACATACTGACCAATAATGGGACTTTTAGGAAATAATTATATTTAAATGAGGTCCTGATGTGGGCTTCTCATAATAGGATTAGTGACCTTATAAAATGAGACCAGAGAGCTTCGTCTTTCTCCCCACATGCAATGAGGAATGGAGAGAACCATTTCCAGACACTGTGTTGTTACCTTCATGTTGGAATTCCAGTCTCTAGAACTGTGAGACATAAATTTCTTTTGTTCAAGCCACTCAGCCTATGCTATTTCATTACAGCAGACTGACCTAATATGTTTATGCATGCAGTCCTAATCTTATTTAAGGAATAAATTATATATCTGAACATACATGATTTACCAGTTCCCTTGATGGCTCCTCACCACATGAGTTGCTCTTGGTTTAGAACCCAAATGATCCAACCAGGATTTGAGAACTTATACTCCACCACCCACCTTGAAAACAGGTATACACAATATTTTCAAAGAAATTGAATCATGAGGAAACCCACATCTCTAGACAATTTCTGGGCAGAACACCAAACTTTAAGCCTGAGTCTTAACATTTGTTATAGTGATAGGGAAATTGTAAAGACTCCTTTTAATGCTATTCCTTTAATTTGGTAAAAGTTTTGTCTTTCTGCTCTCACAAGAAGGCCCAGAGCCCGATTACATTTCCCTGGGATTGTGCTAAGTGTTTTTGGCTGTTTTAGTGACCAGGTGATGTTCTCCAGTTCTGGGACATAGCCTGGAAGAGACCTAGCAACTCTGGTTTTGCAGTTTTGGGTGTCGAGCTATGATGTAAGAAGACTGGCCACCCTGGATAAAACACATGGAAAGGTCACAGGGAGAGGACTTGACCTGGAAAATCCATGAAGTCCCAGCCATCCCAGGATTCCTGTTCACCCCAGACTTCCCAGACAGCACAACTGTGGGTGAGCTACCTTGCATCTTTCAGCCCAGCGTAGTCAACTCCTTACTTTGACCCCGTTTCTGTAGAAAAATTGACTACTCGGCTAAGCCCAATCCCCTTCAAGTATTGTAAGGATTTAAAAATCAGTATTGCTCCATGTTACACCACTTTGGGGACTTCAAAAAAATATTTTCACCATCCTAGCAGCAAGATTTACAATTGTTTCAAGCAAAAATTCATTGTTATGGCTGATAATGCGTCAGAAGAGAATAACCTTGACAGGGTCAAGAGGAATACAGTCAACAAGATAACTTTCCTAATTGTATTCCTGATACAGTGTTTTCTTCAGTTCCATAATCCTCAACAAAAAGCCTGTCACTGCCTTACTTTCAAGAATATATTCTAATATTAAATAAAGGATTATGAATAATACAAACATTATTTGGTTTTATCAGTTTCAATCACAGCTTAAGTTCAAAAACAATAAAGATTTCTTATAAACATTATGTGCAGGTAAGTTTACTGGTCAAATGCTCTATTTTACCAGTTCATTATTTTAGTTCTAATTCATTGAAAATCTTCATTTGCACTGTAAATGTGAAACAGTATGTTTAAAATTGTAACAGGCTATAACATTTAAAAAACTCATGGAATTTTATCCAGAAAAAATAAATTCTATGACTTGCTGTGGTTTCTTCCTCAAACTCAATACTTTAAAAATGAAGTAATTATTTCTCACACTAAATGGATTTTCTTCCTTGATTCTTTGTTTAGTTAATGCCAGAAAATGAAATAAAATGTTTGTTAATTTATGACTGAAACTGAGATTATAATTTTCAAAAACTGTCTGTACCTATTAGGTTCTGTAAGCCCCATACTCAAGGTTGTAAATTGATAATAAAATTACATGTATGACCTCTCAGTGTGAATGTGGTGATCAAAATGAAGTCATATATATTATCTGCAAATTGTAAAACATTACAAAAGCGTAAGGCTAATACATTGCTTTTCTTAAGAACCCAGCAAATTTTTGTAACACTCATGACTTTCCAAGGTTAATTTGATACTACATATTGCAATAATTCAATATTAAGCTAGCCATAAAATTACATATTTAATAGCAAATAACTTTTTGTTGTTTTTTTTTGTTCTTCTACTTTCCCTTCTCCTTGAGTTCCTCTCCTCTATCTTCTTTTTTTCTCTGCTTTATTATTTTTTTTCAAATGGATATAACCTAAGAAAGATTTTTCTAATCTCCACTTTTTTTCACATACTCAGAATATTTTCCAGTCACTTCTTAGGCAAACCAACTGCTGCCCAAGCTTCAGACACTCATCCACTTTCTCCTCAATTTTTATTCCTTTTATGTATTAATCTGAGGACAATTTGAAGTATTGGCCTGAACTCAGAGCTACAAATGTCATTCTTACTACCCCCTATAAGCCAGCAAATTGCAGATAAGAAGAAGAAATTTCTTATCATTCCCATGAAATGTCATTTTGGGTCTTCTGTCCCAAACGATCTCTTCTCTTCTCTTCTCTTTGCTTATTACTGTAACTACAAGAGACCTTTCCCTTTTCTTCATGTCTGTAACAATTATTTTGTGCCATCTGTCTGAGGCTTTTAATAGTTATCAAGGACTCTGTATTCATTTTCTATTGTGTAACAAATTACCACAAACTTAGTGTCTTGAAATAAGAGAAATCTATTCTTTCATCATTTCCATAAGTGAGAACTCTGGGCACAGGTTTACTGAGTTCTCCATATAGGGTCTCAGAAGCTGCAATCAAGATGCAGACCAGTCTGTGAACTCATCTGAGGCTCAGGGTCCTCTTCCAAACACTCAGCTATTGGCAGAGTATATTTCTGTGTGCTGTAGGATTGAGGTCCTCATTTTCTGCTAGTTGTAAGTTAAGGAACACTTTCAGCTACTACAGAGCATGGCATTCCTTGCCACATGGCCTCCGTAGACAGTTCACAGTGTGGATATTTGCTTATTTTTCAGGCCAGGAGTGTATCTCTCTGCCTTTTCATCTTCTTTTCAGGGCTGTTATGATTAGGTCACCCACGATAATCTCTCTTTAATTCAGAGTCCACTGAGAAGTACCCAAATCATGAGAGGCATATCCTATCATAGCCACAGAAGTAGCCCATATTCAAGGGGAAAAATTAACACAGAGTATGTACAACAGAGTGGGAATTCAGGGACCATTTCATAATTTTGCCTAACACAGACTGCTATTGACATCTTTCATTATTACTTCTATCTTCCTAAGTGTAATTCTTATCCACCCATAGTTTTGTAAATCCTAGATAATAAAAGGGAATGGAAAATTATCATAGATTCTGTTTATTAGAATCCCTTGTACATAAGAGATATTCATCTTATATGTTGTTTAGATTTTAATTGTATATTGATTAAATATACAACCTAAAATATGTAATATTATAAATATATAATTAAAATTATAAAACATAAATATATATATACACACACACATCTAAAGTACTTTTATTCTAGCATTCTCCTAATCTAATCCTAATACACCTAAGAACAGTACTGAAAATCTTCAAATATAGTTTTCCATTTATTTTTCTGTCAAGGAATTAGATTCTTACAGCATGAATTCTTATATTTTCAATTACTTCTTCCCATATACCAGATACCAATTTTGTGTTATTATACACTGATCCTTACTCTGCAATATAGCTCCATTACCATCAACTGCTCACTTTATGATGTATATATGAACATTAATAGTGCTCCTAGCCTACAAAGTTTCCGCTATCAGGAATATTGTAATCTAGATAAAAAGCAGACATCAATCTTTTTATTTACCAATTATTATTTATTTATCATATCTAAGAGATAAAGGCAATAACTGATAAATGTCAAATAATTGGAATGAATAATTAATGCTACAGTAATTTAGAGAAATGATATGCATACTTTGTTTTTTGGCTATCTTCTATCACTTCATCAATTAAGTCACTGAGGAGATTGAAAACATGCATTAAGAAGAGACCCTGCCATATATTTGTACTAAGTCCAATTTTCTTCATCTATGTTTTCGTGTTATATTGAAATATACTACAATATAACTCGGTAAGTTTATTGAAGTCAAATAGATATTTCATGCTTTCTTCTAGTGTCATTGTATCTTGTTTCTTAGTACCGATAGATTGGAGGACTATCAGATGAAATTTCTCATCTTACGCCCAATAAATAATACGCAATTCTTATGTTTTATTGTTATTCATTAGCCATGGATTATGGCTTATGAATAACAGTAGGTGGATTATTTGAATGGCATTGCAAAGAGAGTCATTTATAATGTACACTTGAAAGCAGAGTCAGAAATACATTTAGAATTTCTTAAGGTATTTTGCTTACTGATGTATAACATTATACAGATACTGTATTTCAGCATGAATCACTATAATTTTCTTCTCTACCAACATTTTATTGCTGATGAACTTGGACATTGTCCAAGAAAAGGTCGAGAATAGACATTCCAAAGCCAGTGCAATTCTGTATTTTATTTCCTCACTGCATACTGACATAAATTATCATTGCAATGTATAGGCAAATCAGTCCATGAATAATAAATGCACAATTCTGAAATAATAATCTTTGGAATAGCTTTCATCACCTTCTCTCATAAATAACAACAAATGTCAGAAAAAAAGGCAGAACTAGTCAAGACATATGAATAAAATTATTAAAGTTGGACACTAGTGCTAGCCTTGTTATAAAAACATAAATTATGACTTATAACCTTTTCTATAGGCATCACCTCAGACTTTCAAATTCCTTTTCATATCACAAGCAGATTTATCACAATGGCCACCTGCATGCTTTCCCCATAGGAATTAATTGCCTTTATCTTGCAGGGGTCAATATTTCCAGATTACGTTTTATTTCACATTGAATCTGACTTGTATAATTATTTCATGTGGAACTGTGCCAATTATTAGAATTACTTTGTATTTTGCAAATATATCATTTTAATGCAAATGATAAAAAGCATAAAAATGAAACTCATGGAAATATTGCTCTGACACCACATTTTTTTATTTGCTACCAACTACTGGAAATTAAAAGCTCTGTTATTAATGATGAATGTGTTTTCAGTGGAGAATTCGGTAGCAGACAACTCCTCACCTGTAAGCCAACTGGAAGACTCAGTTTGGAAATGCAACACATAATAAATTTCTCTTATTAGATCGACAAACAAAGTAGTTTTGGACAGTATTCAGTGTCTGCTAATGATTAATAGAGACAAATGTTACAGGAAGTAAAGCTATTGTATTTACAAGCCCTTTTTGGTGAATTAATTTAATATTAATGTTTAAGTTCTTCACATCTGGAGAAATTATAAATACCAGTAACAAATTATTAAGATGTTTTATACTTTTTACTATTTCTTTAATGTTATGCAATATTATTTAACATTATTATAATGCAGTACTGATTTTAATTTTCTAAATTTTACTTTTATGTTTGTACTATACTATAAGAATTTATTTCTAAAGTGTTAGGCCTTAAATTTCATCTTTTCACAGATTTATAAGACAATCAAAAATCTTCCATCAGTTTCCGTGTTCTGGTATTGTTTAAAACATAGAATTATCTGTTCTTGGAACTCAGATATAAAACTGACTGGAATTTAAATAATTTTGAAACTTCTATTTTTCATTATATTTCTATTTTAGACAATTTTTTTCAATTATATTCTACTCAGAACTTCTGCAAAATAATGCTGGAATTTCACATTTTTTCTATAACAAAAAATCTATTTCATTATGTTTTCAAATTTGATAGCATAACATACTAAAATTATTTGCTTAATATTTTTCATTCTTCATCTCTGAATGTGACTTATATTCAGTCACATTTATAATGTTATTTATTATTCCCCTTGTTAGATTTTCCAAGGGCCTTTAAAAAGCATGCCTATTAAAATAAATAGATCCACTTGTGTATTTTTTATTCCTGCCATTTTCCAAACCATGGAACATACATTTATTTTTATTAACTGCTTATCTGAATATTCTTCAATATTAACATTGCTGTTTGTTTCATATCTTAGTAAGCTGAAATTTTAATTATTTTTCTCTTTCTTTCTGGACAACAATAGGATTTAATGTGATACATTTACTGCCAACAGAGCTTTTACTTTTCCTAATACATTTTTACGTGTAGTTTACTAAATGTATTATATTTATTATCAAAGCATCTTTCATTGAAATTTAGTTAAGATTTAATATTTTATTTAGAGTTAAGATTTTTTATTTAGTTTATTTAGAAATAACTCCAAAATAATAACTCTAAAAAAAACCTCTTTTATTTAAAGATTTAATATTTATTTTAACTTATTAAAATATTATTATTAAAATAATAACTCTAAAATAATAACTCTAAAAAAACTCTTTTATTTAGAGTTAAGATTTAATATTTCTTTTAACTTATTTATAAATTTCCAAAATAGCTTAAGCTCTTCTAAAATCTGTTAATGTGATTTTATTAATTTAAATGTAATTTTAATTTTTCTTTGCATTTTTAAATGATAATTATCTATTATATTATTTTGCTCTAGAATGTGCTGACATTTGCGTGTGTGCATGTGTCTGTCCTAGAATTTGATCAAGATTAGAAATTTTATGCATGTGGGTGTGTTGTGTGTGTTAAGAGACAGACAGACTGAGACAGAGAGAAAGAGAACGAGAGAGAGCATGTTCAGAAGCAGATTGAGAGGAAAGAAAAATAATGTTGCTTAATTGAATTGTCAATAAAATGCAAAATTAAAATTCTAATGCTTTTAAATTTATACCTGAAAATTTTTGACTTTTCCTGTATTCCATAAACTTTTAATCTTCACAATTCTATTACATAACATGTATTAATAACTCTATTTTACAGATGAGTAAAGTGAGGCATTAAAATAAAGTATCAGCCCCTCCTGGACTAGGTCTTAATTCTGTTAGGCTTGTGTCAGATTAAATAGCAAAGATGACACTCCTTGCATTCAGAGAGAGACAGAGTCTTTGTGACTGCTGTAACCGCTAGAGTGTGGTGAAGTGAAGTTCTTGGCTTAGCCTTTATAAAGATTAGTAATTCCCACTGCCTTGTTCTCACATCCCAGAGCTGCCACATCGGAAGTCTGAACACCCTGAAAATGCCAAGATGTTTATAGTCTAACGGAGGCAGGAGGAGAAGCCTTTAGACAGAGAGAGAGGGAGAGGAGTGCCTGGTCCAATCCCAGCTGTTCAAGCTCCCAGACATTTAAGACCTCCCATCTGTGGCCACAGACATGGATGAGCCATCCTTGCACAGCCTCTCAGGTCTTTCAGGCTCACACAATGGTGGGAAAGAAGAATAAATAATAATCGTGGAAAATAATAATAAATTGCTGATTTACATCATTAATTCTGTTATGCACCAATAGATAAGGTGAATATGATCCTTTCTTCTCCTCCTCTTTCTTACTTTGACAGTCATATAGCCTGTTTATTTTTAATGCTAATTTTTGTTTTTACAAACATATCTAACATAATTTATATAGTTATCTTCATATATTAACTTGTATGGACTGTCATAAATGTAAAATGAACAAATTAGTGTCACATGTCAGTACAATTTTATACCTCAATACATATATCTCTTTTTAGTTTCCTTAATTTTCTAAATTAAAAAAAATCAATTGATCAGAATAGTTTTCCATGCAATAACTAATATTCAAAATTTATTATTTAATTAATTATTATAATGAGCTTCACATGCTTTATTTTTATCCACATCAGCTATATTATGCCTATAAGTGGCTCCTTACTAACTTGAACCACCAACTAGATGGATATGATATTCTGATTTTGTAATTTTTTTAAGTAAAACTACATTGTTGTATTACTGTTTGTTGGCATTTAGTGTGCAGAGAGTCATTTGTACATGACTAAGTTTTATTCCTTACTTAATTGCTTTATATTTTCTACATAGAATATATTAGTATATTGATTTTTATATATAGAAAATATTAAATAGATAAAGTTATAATATGTTCAAGTGTAATAAGTTTTTAAAATTTTGTCATTTAGTTTTTCATAATGAAAATCATTATATTGTATTTGAATATTTTGTATTCTCTCTTTCCCAACGCCCTTAGTTAGGGGATACTACCATATATGAATAGAATAATCTCAGTCCATCTATCATGTTTTTTATTTTATTATTTTCATATATTCACTAACATTATCTGAATTCCAGGGTCAGGGAAGTTTCCTGCATTTATTTTCTACTTTATCACTTTAGTTTTTTGCAACGAAACAATTGCTGACTGTATATTGCAGTGTCTTTCTTTCTTTCTTTATTTTTATTTATTTATTTATTTATTTTTGAGATGAGTCCCGCTCTGTTGCCCAGGCTGGAGTGCAGTGGTGCGATCTCAGCTCACTGCAACCTCTGCCTCCTGGGTTCAAGCGATTCTCCTGCCTCAGCCTCTTGAGTGTAGCTGGGACTACAGGTGCACGCCACCATGCCCAGCTATTTTTTTTTTTTTTTGTATTTTTAGTAGAGACAGGGTTTCACCATGTTGTCCAGGATGGTCTCTGTTTCTTGACCTTGTGATCTGCCCACCTTAGTCTCCCAAAGTGCTGGGATTTACAGGCGTGACACACCACACCCGGCCATATTGCAGTTTCCAATTCACTATGTGGATCTTTCCCCTCAATGAAATTTTTATGGCTTTGAAAAAAAAATCCATCTCTTAAAAATATAAATTTAAATTTCTCTAAAATGTAGTCCCTTTTCTTGGAACAATACTATTTATTCATACTGAGGAAAATATTTGTCTTAGCTCACACTTGAAGAATGACTATGCTTTTCTGATAAGGGTTGATAGCAAATTCAAATTGAAGTTGGTGTTGTTAGAGATTGTTATGGGTTTTAGTCCAAATCTGTGAGAAAATAGAGGCGAGAAAAGAAATTTTTATATATACTTTATAGATTTTTACCACACCACAAAAGAGATGTTGTGATAAACTGGGTGAGCAGAGAAAGGAGGAGCTGAAAATAGAAGTAGAGTCAGTCACAGCAGGCAGTTTGCCTTCTGTCTAAGTGTGTCTTTTCAGTGCTTGGTGAGGCAGCCAGGAGTTGGCCTCCACAGGGTGCCTGGTGATTGCCTGGAATAGATGACTTCCTTAAGAGCCAACCACAGCATACCCCCTGATTTTGCCTGGCAGAGCCTTCTGTTCTAAGCGGGCTCCAAGTCTAAGCCAAGAATAAACCTTGCCAAATACACTCTTCTTATTTTGGCTTAAAGAAAGAAGAATGCTTCCCCAGTGGTATTGCCAAGGTTGAAAATTCACTCCAAGTTGCCCATGGTTCATCTTATTAAATACAAATGGCATTCTGCCGGGATCTGATCTGGCATGCTTTCCAGATAGAGAGTGAGTCACAGATTTGTTATTATTTGAATATGTCCCTTTGCACCCTACATAACAAATAATTACAATAATTTCTTGATGTTCCTAATATAGTGAGCAAATTCTCCCTAATTTTAAATATTGTTTTGGCTTCCTCTCTATTTTTTATATTTCATTTGTCATTTTAATTGGAAGTAAAAGTTGGGAAGGCATACAGAGCCATTAAGTTGAGGTCTACCTTGAGGTTGTCATCTCAACAGGAATATTTATTTTCTGTTTTAAGCACAAATATTCTTACCAAAATGTCAGTTCTTCAGGACTTAACATGATATTCTGGTTGCAAATTAAACAAAACAAATATAGAAATTTTCTTAAACTTTAGAAGCCATTTTTAATAGAAGATACTTTGATTGTAAATTAGCAACACAAAAGCCTTAATATTAATAAAATGATTTTAAAAGTCATGTTGAGTGTCAGGATACTATATATGAATTATTATCTCTGTTCTTCATTATTTTCAAGATCTTTTTAAAGGAACAATCTCTGGGGTGGAGCAAACCACCATGACGCATGTATATCTATCTAACAAACCTGCATGTTCTGCACATGTATCCCAGAACTTAAAGTAAAATAAAAATTAAAAAAAATTAATCTTCAAAAATAAAAAAATAAAGTAACAATCTCTGTATTTATATACCCAATGTATTACTTATAAAATGAGTAAATTAGTCACTCTTACCTATTTGGAAAATTGTAGTAACCAGTGCTTATTTACTTTTGCTTCCAAGTTATAGATTTTGATATACAATTCAGATTCTAAGAGAAGAGAGAGCGAGAGAGAGAGAGAGAGAGCCAAGCATATAAAATTGTATAGAAAAGAATATATCTCCTTAAAGAAAAGCTGAATTTAGGGTATCAAATACAGGCTCTGTTTATCTATTTGTTGGATTTGCTTCCAGAAGTTATATAACCTAGGACTTAAAGTGCCTAAAGATAATTAATTACTCTTGTGAACATCATCACTATTGTCTGTATTATCATTGGTACATGATTCTGTGTTACCTCTGAAAGTGTTTTTGTTTTTGTTGTTTCTTTATTGCCATTTTTGTAAAAAGCAACAGAATGGCTTCATTCGGTGATACTGTATTGATCACTTCTGATGTGTCAGACAATGAATTGGCCATTAGGGAGCCCAAAATGAATAAGAAACTCTCTTTGTCCTTGAACCAATCTTTATTTCAGAAAAATGAAATGTAGCACCAATAACAGCTAATCAGTAGAGATGACATATATTAGAAAATGAAATTAATATTAAAAAGTGCCCTATTCACATAAAACACATTTTACTTGGAATCTATATAGTAAAAGCCTTGGCAAACCATTCCTTCTTCATTAGATGGAGATTATCTACAAAATAATTCATTTTGAAATCTGTTGTTATAGAAAGTTATAGGGTTATGGAAGGCAAAAGAAATGTTAATGTACAGCTTTTATGTTCGTATTAAGCCCCTCCTAATAGAGCAGGAAATAATAACTACCTCTATTGAAACTTTATTCTGTGTCAACCTCTTGGCTTTTACTGGATTGAAACTTCTCCATCGTGACTTTATAGCTTTTGAATTTATTTTCTTCCAAACACACTGTCTCCAAGACAAGGAACCATCAGCTCCAGCATCCGAGCTTGCCACTACCCCACATTTAGGCTGGGCCTTTGCTCTTGTACCTATTTATTGTCAAACGCTAAACTGGAGAGAGTTCAGCTTCCAGCGGTCAAGATGGTTGATTAAAATATGCCAAAATTAAAGTAGCAATTAAGGCTTTACTTACTAACTACATTAGTGGGAATAAGAGGCCGGAAAGTCACTACCGACACAATATTCCATTCCCCCCTGCCCCTCTCCACACCATGGAAACATACTGAGTTTCAGTAAAGTGCATCAACACAGACGGGGAAATCATCTCACCACAGGGGGACCTTGAACAAAGGCTCCTGTCATTTCTTGCACAGGCAGTAGGGCAGGGAGAGGAGAAAGGGGGTAGGAGTGGAAATGTACTGAGCACTGAGTTAGAGTGGAGAAGACTTCAGAGCACTCCTGCCTCTCCCACAATGAGGTCTCAGAAGAGGTAACTGAGGAAGGCGTCAAACTAGCCAAATGGAGGCATCTTGGCTAGCAACACAGATATACTTCGGAGAATGGCAGGGATGGAGAGACTAAGTACTTACTCAACTCCTTCACAGACTCTAAGGTCCTAGCTGTGTGCCCAAATGGAGTGTGGAGCTTCCCCCATGAAGCACGCCAGGACAGGCGTTTGTAATTGCCTATGTTAAAGCCTGAAAAATCAGACATAAGACTTTAGCTTGGAGTCAGACACCTCCTGTATTTAAGAGATATACTTTGAAATCTTCTTTTTCTTTGGGTTTATCCTGAATTTGACATTTTAAATCTGATTTTAAACTTTCCCCATTGGATTACATTGCTTTCTTTAATTCACTATTCTTCTGCACACCCAGTAAATCATCACTCTTCCTCATGATTGTGTCTTTCAGAATTCTTCCCCATTGTGGAAAACCCCTCTCTTCTTTGATTTCAACCACTGCCTAATGTTAATTACCTACAAATGTCTATTTTTTCTATAGGCTGCCCTTCTGAATTCAGTACTTAATTTCAACTTCCATTTGAACATATTTTGTAGTCTGTCAAACAGGAATTTCTAAATAAACACCTCCAGACAAGAATCAAATATCCCTCAAATAAATTTTTTTTCTCCTGAATTGCTTTGTGATTAATTCATGTCAATTAATCCAGAGATTTTAAGCTAGCAAATTTAGAAACGAATTGGTTAATATTTCTGTCAGCTAATGCATCCATTAGTCACCAAGTGTTGTTGAAAATATTTATTAAGTAATTATTGATTTTTTATTCCAACTGATTTCCTGTTTTCTCCCTATTTTCAGTTCTTCGTTTTTACTAAGAGTGTCTTTTCAAAACATGTATTATCCAAGACCATTACAATCTTTTTTTTTTTTTTTTTTTTTTTTGAGACGAATCTCACTCTGTCGCCCAGGCTGGAGTGCAGTGGCGCGATCTCGGCTCACTGCAAGCTCCGCCTCCTGGGTTCACGCCATTCTCCTGCCTCAGCCTCCGAAGTCCTCCCGAGTAGCTGGGACTACAGGCGACTGCCACCACGCCCAGCTATTTTTTTGTATTTTTAGTAGAGACGGAGTTTCACCGTGTTAGCCAGGATGGTCTCGATCTCCTGACCTCGTGATCCACCAGCCTCGGCCTCCCAAATTGTTGGGATTACAGGCGTGAGCCACCGGGCCTGGCCAACCATTACAATCTTAAAATCTGTATCACTTTGGTGTGTACAGTATACAGTCATTAGAATAGTTCTAGCCTCAAATTTTCTACTAATTAAAAATTCTCACTAAATAAAAAGCAGCAAGTTGAGTTTTCAACTTTTACATTAATAGGTTGTTTTTCTTTGATGTTCATTTATTTGTACAAACTCTTCTTCTTGAATGAATTTTCTTTTTATAATTTTCTCCACGGATGGTCTCCTAATAGTTATTACGATTTAGTTTACATATTACCCTTTACCCTTTCTCAGAGAATATTCTCTATAAATCTCACTGTGCTAACAGCAATCATAGCATTCTGTAATTATGTGTTTACAGATTTACTTCTTTCGCTAGGTTGTGAGTTACACAAAACCTGGAATGTTTTATTCATTTACGTCTTTCAGAACTGGCTGTGTCTGATAGATAAAAAGATGAAGTATAATTTTTCACAAAGGAACATTAATGTTAAGATAATTATGATCATTAGAATACTAATATAATATATATCTATATCTATATAAAATGTACAAAACATTGAGATACTTTATTAACAATTTCTTTGAACAAATATATATTTCCCTGACTGAGCAATGTAGCTCATGCCTATTCCAGTACTTGAGAGGTCATGGCAGCGGGATTACTTGAGACCAGAATTCTAGACCAGCTAGGGCTACAAAATGAGACCTCCATCTCTAAAAAAGACAATTAAAAAAAAAATTAATGAGGGATGGTGGTGCTTGACTACAGGCAAGCTGCTTGACTACAAGCTACTCAGAAGGTTGAGGCTAGAGATCACTTGAGTCCAGGAGTCCCATGCTGTAGTGAAGTCTGCACCACTGCCCTGCAGCCTGAATGACAGAGCTTCCAAATATATACATATATACACACACACATATTTCTTTTAAAATATATATACTTCCCTCCAAACATATGTGTAAGCATGTATACATATATGCACATATGTATATGCTTGCATACATGTTTGCACATATGCATATGCATACATGCATGCATGTACAAATGTATATGCATGCTTACATGCACATATACATATGCACATATAAATATATGCACATATGCATATGCATACATGCATGCATGTACAAATGTATATGCATGCTTACATGCACATATACATATGCACATATAAATATACGCACATATGCATATTCATGCATATATGTACATATGCAAGTGCATACATGCATATATGTATGCTTACATATGTGTGTGCATGCATGCACATATGCATATGCATACAGACATACATGTACATGTATATGCATGTACACATACATCCACACATGTGTATGCATGCATACATATATGTATGTATGTCTACGTGTGTATGTGTATATATGTGTACTTGCATATATGCATGCATATGTGTATGTATACACATATGCATGTATGTGTATGAATACATGTATGAATGCATGTGTATGTGTGTATACATATATGTGTGTATGTGTGTATGTCTATATGTTTATGTATGCATGTGTATATGTGTGTATGTGTGCATATGTGTATATATGTGTATGTATGTATACATATAAGTATATATATATTCCCCCCTCCAAATATATATATATTTTGGAATTCACACCACTTCCCACCCAACAAAACATACTAGCTATATATGTAAAATATATGGATATATATATTTCTCTTTCTTTTGTAGTTAATATTGCCTTTTGTTGAAATATTCAGAAAAAATTTTTAAGTACACAGATTTGTCAGTATAAACTACTATATAAAACGTAAAATGCTTTCAACATGTTTCCTGTCATCTAGAAAATTAAAATTTAAAACATATGCTTTATCCCTAAATTAAGATAATTTGCCAAGTAATTTTCAAATATATTGGAAAACCGTATGAAAAAATTAATATACTACATAAAATATTTTCAATATGCCAGATTTATTCTCCCCAGAGTAGCATTTATGAATCCAATGAAGCATGCAAAATAATTGTACAGCTTCTCTTATAAATATAACTTACATTTTATTTCCTCACATTAAAATATAAACTACCAGCCAGTCGTGGTAATCCTAAAACCTTGGGTGGCCAAGATGGGTGGATCACCTGAGGTAAGGAGTTCGAGATGAGCCTGGCCAACATGATGAAACCCCATCTCTACTAAAAATACAAAAATTAGTTGGGCATGTTGGCAGGCGCATGTAGTCCCAGCTACTCGGGAGGCTGAGGCAGGAGAGTCGCTTGAACACGGGAGTCAGAAATTGCAATGAGCTGACATCGCGCCATTGAACTCCAGCCTAGGAGACAAGAGTGAGACTCCATCTTAAAAAAAATATATATATATATAAATATATATATAAATACATATATAAATATATAAAAATATATAAAAATATATATAAATATACATACACACATATACACACTATAAATAGTGTATATATATATAGTGTGTGTGTGTATATATATATACTATTTAAAAATATAACCTAATGGATTTTCAATATAATTTAGTTTTAAATATCAGACTTGCTATGTAACAAAGTACAATTACATGTCAGTAAATTTTTAATGGTTTTATTTAACACAGTAATAATACAAGTTATCAACAAAGTTAAAAATTTAAACCCATGGCAGCTTTAATCAGATTGCTCTGCATCACCTGAAATTTTGCACCAACCATTTTTTCAGTATGCAAATTTAGTGTCATGTGAAAATTTTTAGTAACACATACAGTATTTAAACTGTAATATAATTGTTCATTAAAAAAGAATTTTTTATGTAAATCACCATTTCGACTCACTTAACCAAACTCCCACAAACACTTTAGAATATTTAGGAAAAATATTCAGAATCTGGTAAAAAAAACTAACTTTAGTTACTTCTAAATTGAAGATTAATTCTAGATGATTTAATAGTCAAACATTTTTGGTTGTTGAGAAATACACAGTATTTGAAGTATGATGAATACATAGGTTCTAGGTCAGGCTCTAATGCTTACTAATGGTTTCACCTACGGGGATGTGCTTAACATTTGTGACAATACTCATGTGAATTAAATATATGTAGATATATATATAATATATACTGTGTGAACTTGTGTGTGTATATATATAATGTACATATATGCATGTATATAAAATATATATCTAGGTTTATGCTAATTCTTCAAATATTAGCTATATGCAGGAAAATTCAAGTATGTGAAAATTATTATTTTTAAATAATGAGCAGATAATGATACTGTATGAAGGCAGAAAAAGTGAATAATAGACATTTTTAATGGGCAACATTTAATTAGAGACATGGAATTAGAAAAAAAATGGATTGCTTGGAGTCCATGCCATCTCTCACCCACCAAAATATGCTAGCTAAATAAAAAGACAAATAAATACATAATTTTAAATTAAATCAGTGCTGCTAATAGTACACTTGCTTTTTCAGAGTTGGAGATTGACATAAATTCTATTGTCAGACAGTTCTTCCAATTCTGACTCTAATTTTGTAAATATGAGGCAATTTTTTAAACCTTTGTGTGTCTTAACATCTGTTTACACACAAAATGGAGATACAATATCATAAGGGTTTTCTTAGGAACTAAATTAGGTAATCTACAATTGTAAAGTACCTAGAAGAATGCAGGTCATAGAGTAATACCTCAGAAATGTTAGAAATGATATTATTACCATTATTGGTATTATAATTTCATTCTTTTCATCATTATCATCATTAATAGATTAGTTAAATGATGAAAGCTTTTATTTATAATTCTTTAATGAGGGATGTTGCCATATGATTTCATATCATCTCACTTTTATCCTGATGATGACTTCAATGCAAAAATTTCAACAGTATTACCATTTTATGGATGACCAACCTTAATTAAATTTAAAATAGTTTACATGTTATTGTCTGAAGTAGCAGATAAGTAAGTGGTGGCACTTGTTTTTAAATTCTTGACTGTCTGTTTTTAATGTTCATGCTTTTCTCCTTTCACTACTCTGAGAAAAATTTTAGGAGATAAATTTTGGAAATGGGTTTTTGCATACAAGCGCATAGAGTCCAAACTAATCGGTCTTTTATTATTTAAACAATTTAGCAGAATATATAGTATTTTATAATTTTCCATAAATAATGTATTATATATATTTAAATCATTTTATTCTAAATTATGTTTTAAAATACTTTCAATGAGTTACACTCTATCATACAATCACTTATCTTAATTTTAAGTTAGTATTAAAATTGGCTCGCTATTTTAAACACAAATTTACCTGGTGTGCTTTTCCCTCCACGGAGAATACAATTGCTGTCCTCAGCATATTTTCCCATTTTGGTATGTTTTCCTTTGCAACTAGGTGGTATAAATGAATTATTTTACCGATATGTTTTTATAAGTGAAGTAAGTACAGACAAAACCTCTCTGAATCATTGTCATGTCCCTGGAATAGAGTCTTTAGTGAAGTCCCAAAATGACCCAATTTTGGTGGGGGCTACAAATGCCTATGCAAAGGCACTAGAATTGTATAAAGACCAGTTGTGCTGATGGATAGCACTTTCTCTATGTCTTTGTAAATTTCTTGCAGGACTTTAGAAGAATACACTCTTGAGTTCCCTCTTTGAATGAAAATATTTTGAAGGATCAGAATAGAAACGATTTCTAAGAGAAAGGGATATGATTTAAACTTGAGACAAAAATAGTTTAAAGTAACTTTAGGCAAACTTTCATAAAATATTCATTTAGAATATATAATTGAAATAAAAATCCCATATTTTATCAGTAATAATCACCTATCTACAAAGGGGAAACTCCACATATTATTATTTCAACAGTAAAATTTATGGCCTATATAATGTATTTATAGTACATATTTTTAAATAATTTTAGGTTCCTTTAAATATTCCATATTGGTGTATTAAGCTCTATACAAAGTGGGTGTGGGAAATTATTTCTCTTAACAGACCTCATTTTTTAGCCATCATTTAACCAACTTCAATATTCAGACTATGTTTTGTGGAAGTTCACTTCATTCTTTTTTCCACATTCATCAGGTCTAGACTCAACCACCAGTCCTTCCCACATAACACATTCATGCATTTTTTATCTTATCAATGAAGATATGACAACACTATGAATGTTTTACTCATTTTTATAAGGATGGTGGTGAATGGCTCTTTTATACTAATGAATAAAATACAAAATGTAGATAAAAACATTCATTTTTACAAAGTTTTTGTAATATCTATGAATCTGTAGCAATTATTAAAGACTGTTTCAAAACTATGTTCTTAGTTGTATATATGCATATGCAAAATTGTCCATATAATTCAGATCTGAAAGCTCCATGAGAATTACATTACTATAAGAACATATTATTTGTAAGATAGGAGGTGAATACCAAGGTAGACTTTCCCTTCATCAACGGAGAGATCAGAATGGTGTAGAAACTGTCCCAAGTGCAAATTGAAATGAAAAAAAAAACAACTATATTCTTTATAAATTACAATTAGAATATTTTACTTTTGCAAATTCTACCAAAAAAAATTTACTGTATAAACACGTAACTAAGGTCTCATGCAAATTAGACTAAGGTCTCATGCAAACTTTACTAGCCTTATGGTAAATCTGCACAATTCCATAAGCTCATGTTACCTCCTGTTCGTTCATTAGCCTGAAGTTGCCGGATTATAAATTTGAATAGAGCACTCCTAAGAAAAGGTTTACAGAGTTGAGTCACGTTATATGCTAATTTTACTTTTCCTGTCTCAAGCAATTTTGCTTGCTTCTTTAGCTGCTTCAGTTAATATTTGTCTTATGTCTGTGTTTACTTAGTTTTCTACATACTTATCATTCAGTCACTTCCAACACTTCCCTTCAGTTGTATAAATTTATCTTCAATACTTTTAAAGCATCATGTTTTTTAACAACTTTTTCGTCCTTTTAAAGTTATCTTTCCTGGAAAGATCTGATGCTATGAAATCTAAAGATCTGCTGCAGAGCTCTTATGCTGAAATTTCCTTGGCCCAAATTCTAGAATTTTCTTGTCTGTATTTCTTTTGTTCTGAGGTCCCCTGTTCACTGCATCTCCTGCTTTTGTCCTTCTTAGTTTGCTTCCTAATTTTATGTGAAGTTCTTCCTTGTGTATCTTCTTGACAAGTGGTATGTGGCAGTAAATTTCTTGAGAACCAAGCACCAGAAAATCACTTAAATTAAACACTTAATTATTAATTTGCTGAGTATATAATTCAAGGCTGTGTGTAGATTTCTATTTTGGAATGTTTTTGTTGTTCAAATTGTAAAGACACTGTCCCATGGCCTTTCAGCTTCCAATATTGCTGAAGAAAAGTATTGTGACTCTTGAACTTACATGTATGTAAACTTTCCCAAGGAAGAAATCAAAACAAAACAGAAACATTCTATGTCCACTTCTGGAGAAGATAACATAGGCAAGAAGTTGCAGGGTATTCTCTTCTGCAGCCATGTGTAGCTAAGACGATGCAATGCAGAGCAAAAGAAACACCTGATGTGTGGCTATAAATTAAAATACATCCTTGAGAAATTTTAGAGCACTATATATATAAAAAAATGTTACAAAGAACTTTGCCATAGAGGTAGAAACCAAGTTACATAAAACTTCAACAATTAGGATATTTGAAACTTTATAATAACAGTATTGGAGACCAAGCTATGGTCCTGGAGTACTGGGAATTAACAAGCCTTGGTACGTTCCTCAATACATCCCCCAACAAATTGATACAGACAGAATACAGGGAAATACTGGGTAAAAGAGGGAGGTTCCCCAGCAAAGTCCCCACCTTCAAGCCTCGATACTTATGGCCCTAAGTGAGAATAGGCATTCCTGTTTTTGCATACAAAAGTTGTCTTTTGGCCCGCCACACCCTCCTATCATGTAAACACCAAACCCCAGGATCTAGGAGGAGACAAGGATACAAGGAGACAAATGACAGAACAGCACAATAGGGAAAGAAAGAGGAGGAGTATCTGAACACTGAGAGGAGTTTGGCTGGGGGCAGTCAAAGAGAAGTTATGCCAAACTCCAGGGGAAGATCATCTTTCCACTCCATCCCCTTTCTAGTTCCCCATAGGTACTGCTGAGAACCACCTCCACCACTCAATAAAATGTCCACGTTCATCCTTCCTGTCCCTGTGTAACTCAAGTTTTCTGGGACACTGGACACAGCTCAGGATACAGAAAGCCCTCTGCCCTTGTGAAAAGGCAGAGAGTTCACTAAGCTGGTTAACCTGTAAGTTATCTGTGGATGGCAAAGCTGAAAGAGTGCACTGTAACATGCCCACTTGGCTGTGAGAGTTGCAGACACCCACCCACCCCTAGATACTACCAGTTGAGGAGGTGGTCGAGAGCCCAAAGCACTCACTCTGGCTCCTGCACCTGCTCATCTGCATGTTCCCCCTCGCATAAGGGGTTTGAGCTCCTGGTGACTGAATGGAGAGCCACATCCTCCTTGCATGTCCTACAAGGGGGGGTTCAGGGAATCTCCCATTTCAAAATTATGGAAACTAATGGAGAAATGCTTCTCACTGTTTTGTTTTGTTTTGTTTTGTTTTCGAGTGAAAAATTCTAGAAAGCATTCCATGTTTTCCTCAGAACACTGCAATGGAACTGAGCTATAGTTGTCCATATCACTGATTACATATTCTTATGTTGTCCTTCCTTTCTTACTGTTTTCAGTTTCCTTGATCCCTCCTTCTTCCTCTCAGGAATCAACACGCAAATAAACTACCTGCAATCAAACTCTTGTCTCATACTTTCCTTTCAGAAAAACAAAAAAGCAAACGAAAAGAAAAATAAACAAGTTAACAGAGTACATTTATTTTACTGCAGGCTACATGGGCACTTTTAGATCAAAATATCCAAATGTATTTAATTTTGAAAAATTGTCTTGGTTTGTTTGAATAATTCCTCTATTTGGGTTTTTCTTTTGCTTAAAAACTCATTTTATTTGAAGATTGAGCCTCTGGAACATAAAGTTTATTATTATTTATCAATCTATATTATTTAATTTCAGTCTTTCCTTGTCTTCTTGTGCCCTTTATTTTAAACTTTTGTTTTTTTGAGAATTGTAGGTTCACATTGCATCATAATAAATACAGAAAACCCATACTATTCACACAAAATTAACATTTTTCAAAATTATACTACAGTATCACAGCCAAGATACTGACACTGATACAGCCACAGTATAAAATGATACAGAATATTGCCATCACCACAAGGATGCCCATATTGCCCATTTATAGCCTACACACTTCAACTTCACACCCTCCCACCTCAACTCTCATTACTCACCAGTGATTACTAATATGTTTCCCTTTTCTATAATTTTTTTATTTCAAGAATGTTACATAGACAGAATTGCACAATATGTACCTTTGATATTGACATTTTTGCTCATCATAATTACCTGGGGATTTATCCAAGTTGTTGTATATACCAATAGTTCATCCTTTTTATTGCATTTTTTGAAGTATTGGCTTGCTTTAGTTTTCGGCTATTTGAATAAAGCAGCAAGAGACATAGGTACACACTCTTTGTTTAAAGATAAGTTTTCATACATTTGGAATAAATGTCCAGGAGTAAAATTTCTGGGTCGTATGGTAGTTATATTTTTAGTTTTTTGTTTACTTGTTTTAATAAATGACCAAAGTGTTTCCTTAGAGGGGAATTACATTCCAAATAGCAATAGGTGAATGATCTGGTTTCCATACATTCTCACCAATATTTCACGTTATTACTATGTTTTATTTTAGCCATTCTGATAAGTGTGAAGTAATAGCTCGATGTGGTTTTAATTTGCATTTCTCTAATAGCCAGTGATGTTGAATATTTTTTCATGGATTTTTTTTTTTTTACCATTGGTATAGCCTCTTAATTTAAATCATTTTCTTAACATCTTTTGCTCACTTCTTAATGACTTTTTTTTTTACTTTGAGTTTTGAGGCTTCTTTGTGTATTCCAGAAACTAGCCATTTGTCAATATCATTTGTATATACAGTCTCCTAGTGAGTAGCTTGCATCTATATCTTTTTAGTAAGGTCTTTAACTGAACAACATTTTTAATTTTGCTTGATTTATCAATTTTTTAAATTTAATTTCCTTTTTATTTATTTTAATATTATTCATTTTCATTTATCACATTTTCCTTTTATTAATTGCATTTTGTTACAATATCTGAGACATTTTTGTCTAGCCTTATATCCCTAATATTTTTTTCTATGCTATTTTTCCAAAAGTTTTATAGTTTTGCGGTTATACTTAAATCTGTATTACATGTTCAATTATTTTTGCCTTATATGATTTGAGGTTATTTCGCCTTATTAGACTTGAGGTTAATTTTTTGCATATATTCTCTTTTCAGTATTATTTATTGAGAAAGGTGTTTCTCTTCCATTGAATTGACTTTCTACCTTTGTCAAAAATTGATTGGGCATATTTATGTGGGTTTACTTCTTGGATATCTGTTTTATTTCATTGATCTGTATGTCTATCCCTCTAAAAATATCACACAGTCTTGATTGCTGTGGCTATATAACAACCATAATTGCAGATAGATTATTCTTCCAGGTTTATTCTTATTATTCCAAATTGTTTTAGTTATTCAAGTGCTTTGTCTTTCTAAGAATGTTTTAAAATACTTTTTTCTAAATCTACAAAATATCTTGCCAGAATTTTGATAGGAATTTAATTAAACATTTATTATCAATTTGGAAAAAAATGACATTTTTGTTATGTTGGGTCTTCCAATCCATAATGGTAACATACCTCCCTTTATTTAGATCTTCTTTGATTACTTTCATTAATGTTGTATAGTTTTCAGCATACCAAACCTATATACATTTTGATAAATTTGCATATATATAGCAGTTGTAAATGGTATTTTATTTTTAATTTTGTTGTCCACATATGCATCATCCCTGTCTTAAATACCATTTGGGTTGCTATAACAATACCATAAAGTGGGTAGCTTATTTACAAGAGAAAATTTTTTTCTCACAGTTCTGGAGTTAGAGAAGTCCAAGATCAGGGTACTGACAGATTTGGGGTCTGGGGAGAGCCTACTTTGCAGCTTTCAGTTTCATAGGTAGCTGTCTCCTCACTGTGTCTTAACAGAGTGGAAGAAGAGAACTGTGGTCTCTAGCTCTTTATAATTGCACTAGTCTCATTCATGAGGGCTCCACTCTCATGACCTTATCACCTCCCAAAGGCCCTACCTCCTAATCTCCTAATACCAACACACTGGGGATTCGGTTTATACATTTAAATTTGGGAAAGGCATAAACATTCAATCCTTAGCATGACACCTCATTACAATTTGGAGAGAGTGAAAGTCTAGATGCCTCACTCATCCTTTACTGACAAGGATGGGAGAGGGACCACAAGTTTCCTGTGGTTTGTCTGGAGTAGTGCAGGCATTGTCTAAAAATTAACTCTCTCATTAAACTGCCTTTTGCCTTCTTTTGGCTAGAGATAGCAGGATTTTGTTAGAGCTTTATTTGTCTACATCCATTGGAGTATCTAGTTTTATGGCTTCTTCAGCATCCACTTTGGGATATGTGAGGCAAAAAAAGAAACACGAGGAGCTCACCACTATGTTATTTTTCAGGTCCCAGGCTCTCCAGCTTGTCTGCATTTTCTCTACCTTCAAAATATCTTTTATGTTTTTAAATAATATTTGTAAAGCCTTAAGTTATTATTGTACTTATTGGGAAGAATGGGGAATTGTATGTCCACTTCATTTTCACAAAAGTAGAAGTTGTTTTTTCATTGGTTTATATCACTTTGGAAGATTTCAACTTTTGTACTGAGATATGTGTGTATTTTAAAATTATGCTATCACATTTTTAATCTCCAAGAACTCTTTTTTATTACTGTAAATATTCCAAATTTATAATATCCTGTTTCTGTTTCATAAATGTGTTATAAGTCTCTTAATATCCCAGAGAACAATTTCGTTTTAAGTTTTTGTCTTTGTGCGCTATTTTATTTGTTTTGGACTATTTTCAATGATTATTTTGGTTTTACTCTTTAATTTAAAGGGATTTCTTGTGTATCTGCCTATTCTGTAGTTTCTCTTCATATTTAAGATCAAGACAACAGTAATCGAACTGAAGATTTTTGCTCAGAGATAAGATTAATTAACATAAAGCTCCATTTTGCTGAAATTTGAAGACTTTTTTCACTGTACTAATCCAATTTCACAGATAAAAATGTCTTAATATTCTATTTGCAGTATACTACATTACCGTCATTTGGTAAACCAGTAACGTGGAGACCCTCTAATCTTGGTATACATTATAAAATATGGATATCTGTGTTTATTTTTTTAAGAAATTAATCTCCTCCTTAACATCCATATCCAGTTATACCTGGGATTCCTATAACAAGAAACTCTGATTTTCCTTCAGAGAGTAAAATTCAATTCTATTCTTTACCCTCACAATTATTTATGTATAATTGACAAATAATATTGTATATATTTATTGTGTACCCCATTGTGTTTTGATATATATATTTCATTGTGAAATAATTGCCAAAATCAAACTTATATTCCTTAGTTCAAATAATTACCCCCTTTCATGTGTGTGATGAGAAAAATAATTAAGATTTACTCTCTTAACACATTTTAAGTTACAATACAGTATTATTAACTATAGGCACCATAACATACACCAGATCTTCAGCATGTATTCATGCTGTGTAACTAAAAATTTGCTGTAATTTACATTATCAGGGTATGACCAGGGCAGAGAAACACTGTCTTGTGTCAGCAGTCCTTAAACACAGCAATTTATTGGCCTTTTGGCTTATGTGTACTGAAAATTGGCTTACTTCATTATGTTTATTATTTTATGATATTAATATCCTTTTCCTGGATATTTAGTGTGGTTTCAGTACCAAGCAGAGCTAAAGGTTTACATTAGCAGAGTTAAATCTAAAGCTTTTAGGTAAATAGCCAGTATTTTTGATTAATCTTTAAAATGATTTGTTCATGTTAATATATAATAATCCACTAATTATTTTTTATTTGTTTATTCATTTCAGTAGACTAATTTTGTCGTGATTTTTCCAAAGTTTGCCAGTTGATAAAACATAATACTGAGTTACTTCGTGTGAATATTTTATATTTAAGCATTATAAACCCTTGCCACACTAGGTGGGTTTAGTCAGTGTGACATTGTATATAATCTCATTGTGAAGTTGGAATTTCCAAAAAGTTTGAAGAATGTTCAGACTTAGATATGTTGCTCCTTCATTTCACTTTGTCTTATTCAGTTAAAAAGTTGAAGCTTTTCTGGCTTTTCTAACAGTATTTTAAAGAGCTGTACATAGTAGATAAATTTGTGTGTGTGTGTGTGTGTGTGTGTGTGTGTAGGCAATTACACTATTTGATTTTATAAAACAGTAAGCATATTAGAAATAGATATATAATTTTTGTCTCATTCAGCTTTGAACTGGCTTCTATTAGTTTTCTAATTGTTTGGTATATCAGAGTTTCTATGTTGCTTCTTGTTAGAATTTTTTATTTTTGTATTTGTAGTTGAAATTTTTATTTCAACTGGCAGCAGACCATTTTATTCCCACTGTGCCTTCTTACAGACACATTAAGAACAATTCTCAGTGGAGCTTTTGGCCTGCTTAGAATTCATCATTAGAACCTTTCAAGCTCTGGATACCTAGGAAATTCTCCACTCAACATGTGCAGGGAAGTTTGGCAATTCCTTACTGGCAGGGAGTAGAAGATTAAAGGAGCTCCACTGCTCCTCACATGAGCTCCCCTTGAGATAGAATGTTTTTCGTTCACTGAAAAATCCTATTTATATTTTGAAATGTTTGAAAGTGAGCAATTTTGACCTGAATATTACTGGTGCATCCAGTAATGGCATATCCAAAGTCTACTTTCAATACACAGGGAAGAATATTAATTTATAACATAAGTGCTTAGAAGTACTTGTGAAACTTGCTGTCTGACAGAACAGTTGTACTGGAATCAAGACTTGTGTGTACGTGATGTAAATAATTCTCCCTGCCACAATACCTTCTCCCTCAACAGGAAGATCATCTGTCTTTATGTGGGACAATAATAGTGCAGATATTATTTTAAGAATTAACTATTAGCTATCTCTAAAATCACCATTTGCATAATTGATACTTTATGGTCACATTTACATATGTTTATTTAATCTTTTGGGAACCCAAAATATTTTGAAGACCATAAGATGCATTATGAAAAATCTAGAAAGATATTCATTTTTGTCATCTTAAATTTAATCACAATTTCTCTGTTTCTAACCCTTAAATATGTTCTGTTTAACCTGGAGAACTTCCCTCTCAGCAAATCATCACCTTAATTATGCCCTCAGTTCTTCTTCCTCCTTTTTCATTTTGTTTCTCTGTCTGATCAGTTCAATCCATCAAGCAAGGTTGGAATCTGTGCTTTGCAGAAGCAAGAGGTGTAGTCACAGTGTGCTAGAGCAGAGTGTTGGAGACCAGGAACAATCAGAAGAGCATCAAGAAGGAAATGGAATGATGTGGTATGTTGGCACCTGAGCAGAGAGAGGAGGGCATCAATGAAAGATGAGGTGGGGTGGAGCTCATAGTTGTGATGAAAGATTGGTTACATGCACAAGTATAAGAGGAAATACAGCTAAAATAAACTCAGGAAAATTAGACAAGAAATAAAATTCAATGACATTTATATGAATGATATAAAACTATCTGCATTCACAAGTCAACAATATTATATATTTAGAATATCCTAAACATTTCTCCTCCCCTCCAAAAAAAGAACCAGAAAAACCATTAGATTTAATAAGCTAGTTTGTCATTGTTGCAGGATATATCTATACAGACGATCTATAACTTGGAATGGCTCAACTTATTATTTTTCAACTTTATGATGGGTTTATCAAGGTATTAATTTATTTTCTACTTACAATATTTTCAATATACCATGGCAATTGTAGCCCCATGATATTAGGTTGGTGCAAAAGTAGTTGAGGTTTTTGCCATTACTTTCAGTGCAAAAACTGCAATTACGTTTGCACCAACCTAATACATTAAGGAACATCTATCTGTATATTAAAAAAATGATATTTTCCCTAATTGTCCTGTACACACATACACAAATATTCACACAGAAAGATAAGTATAAACATATATAGATTATGCCACATAATTAATAAGCTGGCATTCACATCATAGTTTCTAAATATCATTGTCCAATAAAATAATCTGAAACTTTATGGAGAATGGCTGAGTTAGTTTGTATAATTTATTGAGTTACTAATTGTGTATGATACATTTACTTATGTTTGCATTTTACTTAAATACAAACTAAAAAGAAAATCACTAAAATTAATAAGTGTTTTTACTACATAACAGATGAGCCAGTTTTGTAAGAGCGATTGCCCATGTCCTAGAGAACATGATTTTGCCTACTATATATATAGTTTCATATATATATGTATTTTTTCTTTTTCTGGCAAAAATATTATAATATTCTCTTTCCTCTATTTCTTCATCGATACCTTTAAAAAATTTGCTATTACAGAACTTACAATAAGTAGATAACATACAGGCCATCCTATGGAATTTGAATATTAGATAATATACTTTTTAGTATAAGTGTTCAATATACTTTATATGAAATACTTTATACTAAAATGTATTTATTTATCTAAATTTTAAATTTAACCTTTTTTTTTTTGCTTTTGCTAAATTAGGAAACCCTAACTGAAGTAGTTCTGCTCAAGTCAAAATGAATTTCAGATAAAAATAAACCCATGGAACAAAACATACAATATTGAATAGATCTGCTGAGATAATTGATAAATCTTCCTGATTTCCTAGTGTTAAGCTAAAGATTGACAATAAATGTAGTTTACATATATATATATATGCAAATAATTATGAGTTTTGCCTAATTAACTATCTTCTATGGTATTTTGAAAGCTAAATTTAATAGTGCAATATCTCTACCATTATCAAAGCAAATATAAGATAATGTTTAAAAATGTCAAGATGCCAAGAATAGTTTGTCAACAATTTGATTCTATAATATGAATTTCATCAGACACTTCTGTGCCTTTAAAATAAATAACATGGCTTTCACTTCTGAGTTATAGTATTTTTAAGTTATTTTCTGCAACTACAGTTCACTTATATTGGAGTTAATGATCTTGAGTAAGCAGAGTTTATTGACATTGATAAGTGAATAACTAAAAAGGAAACATTGCAGCAAAAGCAACTGTTCATCTGAACTTAAATAATTGAACCATTGATTTTCTGAACAGAAAGTGTTATAAAACTTCAGCCATTTAGGTGTTTGTTATTCTTAAGGTTATGAAAAACCTGATATTTATAAAGCTCTATAAAACTCAATAAGCATATTTAGATGGAGAGTTAGAAACAAAAATAGAAATAAGTGGGAATAATCAAATGGACCAGTCCATGGGAGGCTTGTGTGTGGAATCTACACTAGACAGTTGCAATGAAAGATGAGAAAAGGCTCAAGGATCAAATGGGCACAATAGACTAAATCATTTCATTATGGGAAGTGGGTAGGAGGGAACTTGAGGGTCTTAGTCATGGGAGTAGGTTTCTGTGGTGGAGTTACAATTTCAAAGTAGGTAAGAGACACAAGGCAGGAGGACAGAAGATCAGGTAGAAAAGAGAATTCAAATCAAAATATATTTAGTGAGCTCCATTTACAAAGCTGACTGCTGGTGCTATGGGAGTAAAAATTAAAAAAAAACATATCCTTTTATCAAGGAGATTTGGTTTAGTATAAGGGACGCAGTTTTGTGGAATAATAATAAAAACTACCTCACAAAATGTAATTAGATGGTATAGAACAATTAGTAAGCCAAGAATCATGTAACCTAATTTATATATGACCAGTTCCATTTTCATAAAGTATCAACGTAAAATTTGGCTCATTTTATTTAACTTCACTTGAATTTTATCAGAAAAGTGTGGAGAAATATTCCAAATATTATGTCACTAGTCTAATGTGCCTTAACTTCAGCTTCACTTCCATTCTGACTTATCTAGGTTTGTCCTCACTTTTGTGACTTGTTTTTTCTTCTGACATTACTTATTTAAACCTCTGTGTAGCATCTGCAATATTTTATTTCAACTTTTGCATTTTACAAGACATCAAGACTCTATGCTCCCAAAAGGCAAAACTTTAATCAGATTCTCAGTATTATAATGCAAACTTTTTGTTTGTGATGACATCCTTTTAAACAGTATATATATAGGAAAGTTCTGCAAAATGATATTCTGAATGTTAATGTAAGGAAGAGGTGTGGGTCGAATTTATTTTGCTATAGATATTTGTTTTTTTTTCTGAATCTAGGTTTAGGCGAAAATGGTATGAGAGGATCTTGTACTTCAGTATCCACCTATCTGTTCTGCATCTGCTTGCTAATAGATATATTACAGTCAATAAACCCAACGTGGGACTCTTAAACAATAATTTTTTTAAAGTTAGGTATTTCATTATTTGAAAAAAAAATACTGTCAATATTCTATATAACTATAGTTATATAGTCAAAAATATAGTCAATATTCTATATAACTATATAGAATATATATGAATATATATTCTCTATAACTATATAAAATAAATATGAATATATATTCTACATGACTATATATGAAATATATGAATATATATTTTATATAACTATATATGAATATATATGAATATATGAAAATATATTCTATATAACTATATATGAATATATATTCTATATAACTATATATGAATATATATTCTATATAACTATATATGAATATATATTCTATATAACTATATATGAATATATATTCTATATAACTATATATGAATATATATTCTATATAACTATATATGAAAATATATGAATATATGAATGTATATTATATATAACTATATATGAACATATATGAATATATATTCTACTATGTATGAATATATATTCTACTATATATGAATATATGGATATATATTCTATATAACTATATATGAATATATATGGATATATATTCTCTATAACTATATATGGATATATATGGATATATATTCTCTATAACTATATATGAATATATATGGATATATATTCTCTATAACTATATATGAATATATATGGATATATATTCTCTATAACTATATATGAATATATATGGATATATATTCTCTATAACTATATATGGATATATATTCTATGTAACTATATATGAATATATATGCATATATTCTTATATAACTATATATGAATATATATTCTATATAACTATATGTGAATATATATGAATATATATTCTATATAACTATATATGAATATATATATTTCTCTATAGGAATATATGTGGAATCCTATATATGTATGGATAAATATATATGGTTATCCTATATGTATATAGATATATATGAATATAAGAATATATATATAGTTTTTCTTATATGTACATACCTATGATAAACTTTTATTTGTAAGTTAGTCACAACAAAAGATTAACAATAAATAATATTAAATAATATTAAAATTATAATAATATTAATAACATTAATAGATAATTTTGAAATAAAACAATTATAACAATATGCCCACATCACTACTCTTGTGCTTTGTGGCCATTATTAAGTAAAAATGGGTTATTTGAACACAGGCACTGCAATACTGTGACAGTTGATCTGATAACCAAGAGAGCTACTAAGGGACTGTACAGTAGTCCCTTAATTTGCTGGACAGAGGGATGATCGATGTCCCAGGTAGGACAAAACCAATGGTGTGACATTTCTTCATGCTACTTGGAATGGTGTGCAATTTAAAACTTATGAATTGTTTATTCTGGAGTATTCCACTTAATATATCTGGACAGTGGATGACCATAGGTAACTGAAATCATGAAAGGTAAAAACATGGATATAGGATGACTACTGTGAAGTGATTATAATATAATGTGTAAAACCACAGAAAGTCTATTATTAAAAGTCCATTATTAAGAAAGTCCATTATTAAAACAATACTATTCTGAAGTAGTCCATACATTTTGCTTCAAGAAATTAAAAAAATAAAACTATAAATTACTTCAGGACATATTTGTGCTAAATGAGTTTGTCACCAAAGTTATGGAATAAATATTCAGTTTTGAATACTAACATGGATAAGTTATTGTGGACTTACATATTCTTTCTAAATAATAGTTACTGTGCCAACATTCTCCTTCTTGGGGACACTTCCTCCTCTATTAAAGGAGATACAATAATTTTGGAGAAATATGAAGTTCAGCTTTTAAAAAATACCCAAGCTCATAAAACAGGTAAGAAGCAGAGACAAATAATTGCTCCAGGATTTAGATGTCACGGGATTCCTATGTTCTCTTCAGTACTAAGGTGTTCTAAAGTCCCTTAGAAATGGCCGCCTCTCTCCATTTTCAGTACCATAAAGAAAGTTACATGTCTTAAGTTGATATCGTCTACCTGTTCTTCTCCACTATATGCAATTACTTAGAAACAAAGAATTATGTTTCTATGGAGCTTTTAGTGATAAACAAATTATTTATTTGTAATTAAGAATTTCTAACATTTATATATGTTAATACTTATCAAGATAAAATTGATATATTTGGGCAAAAATTATTTTTAGTCTTTCTAAACACAACACACACACAAATGTTTTATTTCACATATTATTGGAGAAAGATACTTAAAACATGAATTATTTCACAGACTAAAAATTTGGATTTTTCAGATTGCACTTTTTAAATTCCAATGGCCTTTGTTGAGATCCTTTTGTCATTTAAAATAATTTCCTTATACTCTCATATTTATCTATAGAATTATATGCATTTTGGCTGGGCCCGGTGGCTCACGCCTGTAATCCCAGCACTTTGAGAGGCCAAGGTGGGCGGATCACGAGGTCAGCAGATCGAGACCATCCTGGCTAACACGGTGAAACCCCGTCTCTACTAAAAATACAAAGAAATTAGCTGGGCGTGGTGGCGGGCGCCTGTAGTCCCAGCTACTCGGGAGGCTGAGGCAGGAGAATGGCGTGAACCCGAGAGGGGGAGCTTGCAGTGAGCCGAGATTGCACCACTGCACTCCAGCTTGGGCGACGAGCGAGACTCCTTCTCAAAAAAAAAAAAAAGAATTATATTCATTTCATATCATATAATTATCTATACCTATTTGATTTTACAACATTAACATTTCTATATTATTATCTAAATCCTGATAATAAAATTGCCACAAGTGGCCAGGTGCGGTGGCTCACGCCTGTAATCCCAGCACTTTGGGAGGCCGAGGCGGGCAGATCACGAGGTCAGGAGATCGAGACCATCCTGGCGAACACTGTGAAACCCGTCTCTACTAAAAATACAAAAAAAAAAAAAAAAAATTAGCCAGGCGTGGTGGCAAGCACCTGTAGTTCCAGCTACTCAGGAGGCTGAGGCAGGAGAATGGCATGAACCTGGGGGCGGAGCTAGCAGTGAGCCGAAATCGGCCACTGCACTCCAGCGTGGGCGACCGAGTGAGACACCGTCTCGAAAAAAAAAAAAAAAAAAAAAACTGCCACAAGTATATAACTCTGTGTTTCACCTTGTACTGGCAAAGTGAAAGATGTATCCTAAAGCTTTTAGAAGTAGCTGTTTAAAAGTATGGGTAACTCCTCCCAAGCAGCTTATTGTTTTAAAATATTAAACAGGTAGCTATTACATTTACATGGAATAAATTTGACGTTTTTATTGTTTCTTACTGATTTGTCTGAAGTAACTGCATGTGTATATTTGAGATAGATACTAGCTGAGATAAATCTTGAATAATTTACTTTATGAATCATTTTACTGAAAAAAAATCTCTCAAAGTGCCTTTAACTCTATATTTGTTTGCTGGGGAAATGTCTCATTTGGAGCTTGATGCCAAAACAACCTAGATTATTCTTGGACTGGAGTCAATTTGTTTCATCTCAGTTGATAATGTCTCCCATCCCTAGATTGTGGCTAAATTCAAGAAAGAAAAAGGCAAAATTTAAGATTAAAGAAACTCTAGGCACAGCTGGGCATGTAAGATAGCATAGCACAATATTATGTTCAATGAGGAATAGAAAAGAGAACCAAATGATCGCATCCTTTTTTCAGGTATAATGACTGTAATATTTTAAAATGATGAGGACCTATTTTCCTACACTGATAGTCTTTAGGATACTGATTAGAAACCAAAGGCATAGCAGCATAGGAATGGGAAAATCTTACTTGATGTTATTTGCAAATAGTTATTCTCCCATTGCAAGTCAATCAATGTTCAGGCTT